>NC_000008.11:24405557-24708587 GCF_000001405.40 Homo sapiens
GCCCTTTGGAGAACAAAAGAAAGCAGTCTTCCATCAAATCACCTTAAAATGCACGGCTAAACTATTCAGAGTTAACACTCCAGAATTGTTAAATTACAAGTACTATGCTTTAATGCTTCTTTCATCTTACTAGTATGGCCTATAAAAAAAATAATACCACTTGATGGGTGAAGGCTTTGGCAATAGAAAGAAGAATAGAATTCAGGTTTTATGTTATTCCTCTGTGTTCACTTCGCCTTGCTCTTGAAAGTGCAGTATTTTTCTACATCATGTCAAGAATGATTCAATGTAAATATTTTTCATTTTATCATGTATATCCTATACACACATCTCCTTCATCATCATATATGAAGTTTATTTTGAGAAGTCTACATTGCTTACATTTTAATTGAGCCAGCAAAGAAGGCTTAATGATTTATTGAACCATAATGTCAATAAAAACACAACTTTTGAGGCTTTTCTGTGTGGTCATTTTCAAAACTGAGTATTTTCAAGCTTCTTTTGTAGGTTTGTGTTAGGTGCTGAAGCTCACATCATTGGAAAATCATCGCTCTGGTAATTTGATAATATTGTCACAGATAGCCAAGCAATGCTATATGAACATGAGAAGAGGAGGTTGTATCATCTTTTCATGCCCAAAATGGCATGATGTGAGGCCAGTCACACAGGAAGACTAGGCTTCTTCCTGAGGCTTCTTTCTTGAAATAATTTTTAACAATTAATGAAAGTTACCTAAATTTCCACAGATGCCTATGCTGGGAGACTAGAAACTTAGACATGTTTTTAAAGATTGGGCTTTGAAACCAAGGGCCTCCTGGGATGCCCTGCATGACAGTGTTGGCCATCTCCCCCTTCATGGCCTTGATGTCATCGATGGGCTGGCACTGCCAGTGTTTCCTGTGAAGCTGTATGCCAGGTGTGCATATCAGCCCGGCTGCAGCCCCAGGATATGCCTTGCCAAGATCTCCACTGCCCACGGGTTTGATACGAACTTCCAGCCAATTCTTCGAAGGAAAAAGGGCTTCTTAGGACATCCTTTCCACCCCACCCCCAACCCCTGACCTTGTGCTCAGGTAGGGGCTTCTTATAGCAAAACTCACTGAGCTGCAGGGATTAAAATCAGTGGCATGCTGGAGACTTCTAGTACAGGCTTGTGAATGTCAACTGTTAAACTTTAAGAAATATTGTGAGCTGGTTGCTAAACACGGCCACTACCGAAACCCAACGTGTATAAATTCATAATTAAATTCTAGCAAAAGCAAAGGAAATACTCAAAACATATCACTCCCTATTCTACTACATTTGACTCATCTATGCTCTATAGTTATTTAACTCTAACATAGTTATGTGATGTAAATACTATATAAGCATGTGCTACTGAGACCTCTTCCCTACTGTCTGGCCAGTGACATCACGTTGCAGTGGTATATGACAGGAGGACTTTAGCACAGAATAGCCAAATGCTACAAATCGAGGTTTGATTTATTGTTTTATTTATTGTCTATACTTAAGAAAGTGATGGAGTTTTAACTTAAAAGTAAGTCTTGTTTATAGCAATTAAAATGTGAAAGCATAAAATTTTGAAAGGATATTTTTTCATTATTTGAAAACTATCATCCAACTCAATAGTCACTCACACTTTTAATGAATGAGTGAAATTCTAATATATGTCTTTATTCTTTCAATTTTACTCATTGATGTAAGCAAAAATATCAACCAAAATGTTGGAACTATACTCGTTCATTGCTTGCCAGCATAGTTTGGCTAAGGCTTAATAGTTCAACAGAAACCAACGGAAGCATTCTGTTAAAATCAATTGCCTGTTTGGAATTATAGTAATATTGTATTTTTAATTATTATTCAAAAACTGCATGCTACACATTATATCACCGAAATTTAGAATAAACATAGGTACTTATATGTACACATCCTTTTTTTCCCCAAGAGATAGCTTTTTTCTCATCAATAATTATTAATTATTAATTTTTATTTTTATTTCAATAGTTTTGGGCGTACAGGTAGTTTTTGATTACCTGGATAAGTAATCTAGTGATGATTTCTGAGATTCTGGTACACCCATCACCTGAGCAGTGTGCAGTGTACTCATATATAGTCCTTTATCCCTCACCCTCCTTCCAACAATTCCCCCCAAGCCCCCAAAGTCTATTATATCATTCTTGTGCATTTGCATCCTTATAGCTTAGCTCCCATTTATAAGTGAGAACATACAATATTTGGTTTTCCATTTCTGGGTTACTTCACTGAGAAGAATGGCCTCCAGCTACATCCAAGCTGCTGTAAAAGACATTATTCCTTTTTATGGCTGAGTAGTATTCCAAGATTTATACATACCACATTTTCTTTATCTACTCATTGGTTGATGGGCATTTGGGTTGGTTCCAAAAAGGGAACACTTTTATACTGCTGGTGGGAATATAAACTAGTATAACTAGTATGAAAAACAGCATGGAGATTCCTTAAAGAATTAAAAGTAGGACTACCAGGGAGTCAGCTTTTAAAAATTTACCAGCATACCACTGATTACAGAACCTTAAACATAAACTTTTAAAGTTCCATATGTAGCTACCTGCTCTAAGGTAGGCAAATGAATGTCATCAGAGTGGTCAGGGAATGCAGTAGGATGGATTCTATTAGCCTAAAAATATGATCACCACCCCTTCTCCACTGACTTCCTAGCCAATGAGCAAGTATAGCTGCACAGTGTGGCCCTTCTGTCTTTCTTCCAGTGTTTTTCCTTAAAAAAATCCCTGGTTTCTTTTCTTTTTCTTTTTCTTTTTTTGAAATTCCTTTGGTTAGGCTTACTCCAGTCGATTGAACATGGATTTATAGACATAAGTCTCAAAAGAAAGGAGTCAGGATTCTGATTATTTTCTGCCTTAAGAGAATACTCTGCCTGATTGCTTGAGATGCTATACAGATATGGGAAGGGAGGAAATAGGGTGGATCCTTTCTAATTCTACCTAATAGCATCCAACCACTGAAATCTGGTGTATATTTTGAAGCAGAAATGACACCTGACCCCAAGTGCTTTGAGTGTTGAAGATCCAAGCGCTTGCCTAACCCCAAATGTCCTACTCAATAAATTTCAATTTTGAAATGATTCCTCGTGTGTCATGAAAAGATCCACTTTTTTAAGAAAACTGGCTTAGACATGTGGGCAATCTTTAAAGGTTGTGCATAATTAACATATCACCAAATAACTAATTTAAGTGAAATGTTTTCTACTGAATTTAGCATGGATCATAGAATTATTTAGGGAAAAATAGTCATTTCTTTGATAAAAAGTTAAATGCTATTTTTAGAAACCTCCAGAGGGTTGGTATGTTGGTAGACCAAACATCTGGATGGTTTGCTTTTGATGTTTGACAACAATGCATACAGTTTAACAGTTAAATATGACATGACTTTTAACATCTAGCAATTACTTTTCAAAGGCATAATCATTTCCAACCAAAGCAGAAATAAAACACTATTATTTATCTGTTCAATGGATAGGTTTTTCAAAGCATTTTTGCATCTTTTATCTAGTTTGATTCTTAGTGAAATCAATAAGAGACATATATGATGATAATCATTATTATTTAAAATTTATAGGGGCAGAATCTGTGGCCAAAGAGGTTGTTACATGATTTATCTAAGGTTCTATAGAAAACTTACGGCAAACAGAGGCCAGGCACAGTGGCTTATGCCTGTAATGCCAGCACTTTGAGAGGCAGAGGCGGAAGGATTGCTTGAGCTCAGGAGTTCAAGACCAGCCTGGGCAACATAGGAAGACCCTGTCTCTATAAAAGATTAAAATATTGACTGTGTGTGACGGTGAGTACCTGTGGTCCCAGCTACTTGGGAGGCTGAGGTGGGAGGATCATTTGAGCCAGGAGTTTGAGGCTGCAGTGAACCTGGAACTACACTCCAGCCTGGACAACAGAAAGAGACACTGTTCCAAAGAAAAGAAAAAAAGGAAAAAGAAAAAGAAAGAAAAGAAAAGAAGAGAAAAAGAAAAAGAAACCTATAACACAAATTCAGAGTCCTAAAGCTAGGAATTCTACCACTTATCCTCCATTCTGATGGAATTATCTCTTGAGATGGACGAATGCCACATATTAAAGCATTCAGGAGCCACTTTATTTGTTGATACATACAAGGTGTCATAAATCCTAAGAGGACTGAGGATGATGTTAAAAAATGAATGTGAACTTGAAGCATGAATGCCTGCAGATAGTGCTCAGTAATTTGCTTTCTAAAGACACTGATTGCTCCTTGACCAAATTGCCTCACACTAGGAGTTCACTGTTAAAGTAAAAAATATTTAGCCTTACAATTTATGTATAAAATTGAAATGTAATTAATTGGAAGAAAATTGAGTCCACACAAGGATAAACAAAATTTCCCATTTTTAGTGATTAAAAAGCACATATATTGAGTTTCTATAAACAAATAGATATACTATATACTGGAAGCTTATTGAACACATACTGTATACTTTAGTAATGTACCTGGTGTATTATTCAATAACAAGGATAGAAGATATCTAAAGAATATTTTTTCTTCCAAACACTTTTTTAAACTTGTGTTTTAAGTTCAGGGGTACACGTGCAGGATGTGCAGTTTTGTTACATAGGGAAATGCGTGTCATGGGGGTTTGCTGTACAGATTATTTCATCACCCAGGTATTAAGCTCCGTACCCATTAGTTGTTTTTACTCATCCTCTCCCTCCTTCCACCCTCCACCCGCCATTTGGCCCCACTGTGTTGTTCCCCTTTATGTGTACATGTGTCTCATCATTTAGCTCCCACTTATAAGTGAGAACATGCCATATTTGGTTTTCTGTTCCTGCATTAGTTTGCTAAGGATAATGGCCTCTAGCTCTATCCACATCCCTGCAAAGGACATGATCTTTTTCTTTTTTATGGCTGCATAGTATTCCATGGTGTATATGTACCAAGTTTCATTTATCCACTCTATCACTGATGAACATTTATGCTGGTTCCTTGTCTTTGCTGTTGTGAATAGTGCTGCAGTGAATGTACATATGCATGCATCTTTTTAATAGAATGATTTATACTCCTTTGGGTACATACTCAGTAATGGTATTGCTGGGTCAAATGGTATTTCTGTCTTTAGGTCTTTGAGGAATTGCCACGCTGCCTTCCACAATGGCTGAACTAATTTACACTCCCATCAACAATTTCTAAGTGTTCCTTTTTCACCACAACCTTGACAGAATCTGTGATTTTTTTACTTTTTAATAGCAGTCATTCTGACTAGTGTGAGATGGTATTTCATTGCGGTTTTGATTTGCATTTCTCTAACGATCAGTGATGTTGAGCTTTTTTTCCTATGATTGTTGGCCACATCTATGTCTTCCTTTGAGAGGTGTCTGTTCATGTCTTTTGCCTACTTTTTAACGGGGTTATTGTTTTCTTGTAAATTTGCTTAAGTTCCTTATAGACGCTGGCTATTAGACCTTTGTCCAATGCATAGCTTGCAAAATTTTTCTCCTATTCTGTAGGTTGCCTAGTTACTCTGTTGATAGTTTCTTTTGCTCTGCAGAAGCACTTTAGTTTAATTAGATCCCATTTGTCTATTTTTGATTTGTTGCAATTGCTTTTGACATTTTTGTCATGAAATCTTTGCCTGTGCCTATATCCGGAATGATATTGCCTAGGTTGTCTTCTAGGGGTTTTACAGTTTGGGGTTTTACATTTAAGTCTTTAATCCATATTGAGTTAAATTTTGTATATGGCATAAGGAAGGGGTCCACTTTCAATGTTCTGCATATGGCTAGACAGTTATCCCAGTGCTGGTTATCCCAGCAACATTTATTGAATAGGGAAACTTTTCTCCATTGCCTGTTTTTGTCATGTTTGTCAAAGATTAGATAATTGTAGGTGTGTGGTCTTATTTCTGACTTCTCTATTCTGTTCCATTGCTCTATGTGTCTGTTCTTATACCAGTAGCATGATGTTGGGCAGCATGATGCCTCCAGCTTTGCATTAGAGAAATGCAAATCAAAACCACAATGAGATACCATTTCACACCAGTCAGAATGGCTACTATTAAAAAGTCAAAAAAATAACAGATCTTGGCATGGTTATTGAGAAAAAGGAACACTCATACCCTGCTGGTGGAAGTATAAATTAGCTCAGACATTGTGAAAGACAGTGTGGCAATTCACCAAAGACCTAAAATACCATTAGATCCCCCAAACTCATTACTGGGTATGTACCCGAAGGAGTATAAATAATTCTATTACAAAGATGCATGCATGTGTATGTTTACTGCAGCACTATTCACAATAGCAAAAAGATGGCACCAACATAAATGTTCATCAATGATAGAATGGATAAACAAAATGTGGTACATATACACCATGGAATACTATGCAGCCATAAAAAAGAACAAGATGCTGTCCTTTGCATGGATATGGACAGAGCTGGAAGCCATTATCCTTAGCAAACTAACACAGGAACAGAAAACCAAATACAGCATGTTCTCACTCATAAGTGGGAGTTAAATGATGAGACACATGTACACTTAGAGGGGAACAACACACAGTGGGGCCAGTTGGAGGGTGGAGGGTGGAAAGAGGGAGAGGATCAGTAAAAACAACTAATGGGTAGTGGGCTTAGTACCTGAGTGATGAAATAATCTGTACAACAAACCCCCATGATACAAGTTTACTTATGTAATAAGCTTGCACATCCTGCACATGTACCCCTAAACTTAAAATAAACGTTAAAAAATAGAATATATTTACCATGGAATACTACTCAGCCATAAGAAAAAAATGAAATGATGTTTTTGCAGCAACATGGCTGGAACCGGAGGACATTGTCTTAAGTGAAATAATTCAGAAGCAGAAAGCCAAATACCTCATTTTCTCACTTACAAGTGGGAGCTAAATAATGTGTACACATGGGCATAGAGTATGGAATGATAGACATTGGAGACTCAGAAGGGTGGGTGGGTGTGAGAGGGGTAGGTAATCAGAAATTACTTAATGGCTATAATGTACATTATTCTGGTGATGAATACAATAAGATCCCAGACTTCATCATTTAAAAAAAAAAGGAAAGAAAGATGTTAGGTTTCTAACACAGTCCCAGCATTGTGTTGGGATTTAAGCACAGTGGATCCTAGCACATAGGAATCTCTGTAAGCTCTCATAGCATTAGCAACTGGCCAAGAGAAAAATAGATATGAAGTGCTCTAGGGGTCATGTCATAATTTTTTAAATGTGGTTATTATCTTGGTCTAAAAACAAATTGAAAAGGAAACATGTACCCTTAATAATTAGACTAGATGAAAAGACTAATCCAACCAAGCCTTAGACATCACAGAAACCAAGGGATATGTCAGATACATGTGCATATGAGTTTGTGCCCACATATGTACACACATGTGTGTGCTTCTTCAGAGTACTCCGTTGGAACAGGGAAAGATCATGACACATCCAAAGAGAAGTCTGGGAAGCCAGCTGCCCTAGAATGTCAGTGAGTGAGGATGCTGGATAAGGTCAATGCAGAGTTCAATCACCCCTGGGGAGACCTAAGAAGAGCACAGATGTTGGCACGGGGCTATGGGAAGGGAGGTGGCAGCACATGGGAGATTTCACTGATCAAACTGATTTGCTGTTGATGGTGACAAATGAAGATGCAATGGAGAACTGATGAAGAGTTTGCTGATTAAAGTGGCATTGCAAGGTAGAGGAGGGAACAAAATTAGAACCAAGAAAGGACCTTCATTAAGGAAGTCATGTAGCAGTATGCTTTTGGAAAAGGAAGAAATTAAAATGTGGCCATTTAAAAAGGAAGACAAATATTTTGAGCTTTTACAGAAGTCGAGTTTGAAAGAAACACACAAAACAAATGTTGGAGGTGATGGATACCCCAATTACCCTGATTTGATCACTGCGTGTTGTATACATGGATCAAAATATCACATGGACCCCCAAAATATGTAAAGCTATGATATATCAATTAAAAAATACAAAAAAGTTTAAAAAGAAGGCCATTGTATGAAAGACATGGTTTAGAAGATAATTTTGCAGGGCCGAGATTCAGAAAGTCAATACCAAATGAGAAATATCTATGAATAAGAACGTTGGAGAGGACTTTACCTGCTGTGATACACTCAAATGGAGAACAGACGAAAAGTATGGAACAAATGCTGTGTTTTACGGGAGGTATTCTAAGGTGAACATTTAGAATCTTGTGCCAGACGATATCCCTCAATTGGACTTTCTTCCTGGAGTTTTCTTTAGAATGAGGGATTGAGAAAAAAGGAAAAGGGTGTCCAAAGGCCCAGCACCTCACCACTTAGCACATAGTACAATACCTTGCCCTCAGCTAGACACGAGAAAAATGAAAGAAAGAAAGAAAGAATGAATGAATGAACCAATGCATCATGAGAGAATGGGAGAAGAGGACTGCATACAACATCTTTCTAACTTTGTCCACCCCCAAACCCACCACCATCTAGTAACAACCCTAAATTGGCAGAATATTTCATTCTGAAATCACATTAACCTATATTGTAGTATCTCCATCTACAAAGGATAAGAGGCAAGAAGAGAGAAACCTGCAAAAAGAAGACAGAGCCCCCCCTACCCATCACAGAGATTTTTTTGAAAAAATAAAAAACCCAACATGCTATTATCTCGGGTATAATAATGGCCCCAGGATACAAGAAAACAGTGAGAAATCAGAGGAGAGGGAACATAACGAGGTTTTCATGGACATGTGGGAAGAAAATAAGAGGAAGAGTCAAGATTTGAAAATTCAGTACTGATGAATTAAATTAGAAGTAGGCATTTAGGAGAAAAAATGCAAAACTTTTCAAATATTGTGAAGACAGTCCCTGACTGCCAGGTTGAGCGTGGTCTGGGTTCACTCACTCTCCCTCTGGGGATGCACCACGCCAATTCCTGAGAGAGTTAGACTTCCTTCTTTCAACTGCATCTTCAATAACAAAAAAGAAAAGCAAAGCTAAATAAAGGGCTTTTTGAAAAAATAATTTTACTCTGTCCTTAATAAAAAAGAAATAAATACAGTGATAACATGCAACTTAAGTAGAGTCACTTTTCCAGGGTACAGCTCTCTGATATTAAGACAAACTCCAGGCCAATGGACTGGCAAGTCTTTATGTATCATGCCCGGTTCCCCTTCGGCTCCTCCATTTCCAGGTAGGGAATTGCATTTTATTACCGATTTCCTAATCTTTCCTCCTTAGTTCCTGATACCCTGCATCTTTAAAAATCCTGCTTGCGAACAGTCGGCAAGGCCCTTCCCTATAAGCTCCCAGGAAAGCCTCTGATCTCCACGGATGCCTTCCACCAGGAGCCCACTTAGCAGGTGACAGGGAAGGTGAACCCACTTCCTCAGCCCCACAGGCCTCTGTGCCCACAGAGCAGGGCTAGAGGAGAGGGCCTTCGGGACCAAGGACTTCTTGCCTTTCTTTGCCTTTGCATTTCCTCTGCATTTCTCGTGCATCAGAGGGGCTGTGACTGGTGTACTGTAGGTAGGCAGAGTAGGAGATCCCTGAATCCTGGTGTGTGGACCTGACTCAGACACAGGCCTATGTGGGCAAAACCCGGGACCTTTTACGCCCTCGTGTGGCCATAATGTTGACAGCAGCAAAGCCCAGGTCTCCATCTTCTGTTGAATCCTAGGTGATAACGTAACCCGCGGAGAACGGCTTTACTGCAGGCCTCCGGCTGTGCTGGTCGAGCCGTATGTGAGCACGTGACCGTGGCAGAGAGGAGAAACTCAGCTTCACAGACAGCTTCCACTGGACCTGTCCCTGAACCACAGTCTGCCCAAAGCCTCTACCCTCAGCCAATATGCATGCCCTTCAGGTCACCTTAACAAAAGCTGAGCTTCTTGGGCTGAAAACTGCATCCCTGGCCAAGCCTCATTCATTCAGTTCAGCAGAACCAACTCCTCTCCTGTTACCTGTTGAATGAAGAAATAATCAATCTCTATCTTCCACCCAAATATCTCGGTTCCACTTTTTATTTGAAACTGAATTTGAGACTAAGAGTTTGCAAGGATCCTCTACCTTATTTATGGCTGATTTGGCCAGTTTTCAGCCTAAGAAGAATCTTGGAAGGAGAAAACATGCAAGCTCTGGAAACGGTGTCTCTGGGGCACTGTTAACGTGCCTCGTGAACACACATGTTCACAAGCTGAGCGCCACCAAACCAGAGAGTGGCCAACAGCTTCCACAGAGACCCACAGAGCTGTCACCTGGAGTCTGTGCAGGGTATGGTTGACCACAGGTTTATTGTCTCTACTCAGGAGTGCCAAAGGAAAAGGCCAAATACTAAGGAGATTCTGGCTTATTGTCCATGGATATGAAAAGAAGGGGGAAAAGGGGATTAGAGGAATCAGGGGTCCGGGTTAAAGCTTTTGGGAGCAGATCACCAGCTCCAGACTGACATATCTCACAGTCTTTGAACGGAAACAGACCTCCTGCCCAGACTAGCAGGCCAGGCAGGTAACGTCAGCCCAGCTGGCCAGAAAGAAACCTGCTCAGGCCTGTCAGGTGGATTTCCAGGTAAGGGATTTTCAGGGAGTTTAGGGCTAAACTCCCTGAGTTTCATTACTAGGGCAATAACTGGCAAGATGACAACATAATCTGTTCCTCTGAAGTATCATAATTAGTCCAACCACAGTGTCTCCTATCCTAGTGTTCATTCAACCTTCTCTATCCCCTTTTACTCAAAGAAAAAGCTACCTTCTCATTACCTTCTGATACGGTTTGGATATTTCTCCCACCCAAATCTCATGTTGAAATATAATCCCCAATGTTGGAGGTGTGGCCTGGTGGGAGGTGTTTGGGTTATGGAGGTCGATCCCTCATGGCTTGGTGAGGTCCGTGATAATGAGTGAGTTCTCCTGAGATCTGGCTAATAGTGTGGAGCACCTCCTCTTCCCTCTGTCTTGGTCCCTCTCTTGTTATATGAGATGCCTGTTCCTCCTTCACCTTCCATCATGATTGTAAGCTTCCTGAGGCCTCCCCAGAAGCCAAGCAAATGCTAGCACCATGCTTCCTGTACAGCCTGAAGAACCATGAGCAAAATTATACCTCTTTTCTTTATGAATTACCCAGTCTCAGGTATTTCTTTACAGCAACACAAAGAGTGGCCTAGCACACCTTCTACACAATCTCCCTCCCTTCTCCTTAACCTCAGCCTCAAGCCACAGATGCCAGATGGCTTGTTCCTGTGCTTTGTCCTTGATGGTTCTACTTGCAACTGCAGGCTTGCCTCATTTCCCGTATTTAGATAAATCTCTTGGATCATGACTACCTACCTACTGTCATTTTTGAGGATTAGAATTCTAGGCACAAGTTCTTTGTCTTATAAACATTTTTCAAATATTCCAGATATGTCACATATATGTATGTAGATAGAGCATTTCCTCCCAGGCTAGGGCTTGCCTTTTCATCCTCTTAACGTCATCTTTTCAAGGTTAAAAATGTTCAATTTTGTTGAAATCCAATTTATCTTTTCTCTTTTATGCTGTGTATTTGCTCAGTACTAACACGTCTTTTTTCCCTCCTGGTTGATAATAATTTCTTTCATGTTTTCTTTCATAACTTACATTCTTTTAGGTTTTATATTTGGTTATATGGTATATTTCAAATTACATTTCATATATGGTGTCAGGTAAGGTCCAATGTTCATTTATTCCATATATATGGTGAGTTGGTCTAGCACCATTTACTGGAAAATAATGTATCCTGTTTTTATTGCATTGCCTTGCTACATTTGTAAAATAACAAAGTCATTAAGAATATATGTGAGAACCAATTCTTGGCCTCTCTATTCTGTTCTATTGATTTGTATATTGATCCTGTAACTTTGCTAAGCTAACTTATTCTAGTAGTTTTTATGTAGGTTCTGAATTTTGACATTGCGTTTTCTTAATATACCTTGTCTACAGGATTGTAAATCCAGGGCTCTCCATTGACTTGTCACATTATTTAGACACTGATGACTATTTCTAACCACATTGTGCAGCCAGCTCAGTTATCAACAACCCAGATTAGATTTGACCTACACGTGTGTCCTGCTCTGCATTCTGAAGCTCTCCCCTAATCCTGCCATGTGATGGCCTTCTGGGCCCATACTCAATAGCTTCCTCCCTGCACCAGGTTATTGACCTGAATGTCATTCTCTCTTCTTCATCCTCCAAGTCAGAGGCATCATTTATATTTGCTTAGACAACAGTTTTAGCACAGAAATTCAATTTAGCAAATGAATCTTTCAGCTTTTACCCTGGAGGGGGCTATCTCTATGTGGTGGTGCAGGGGGAATCTCATGTCCTTTGGTAACTGAGCATTTAAAAGATTAATACTTTTTAACTTTAATATTATTTATTTATTCATTAGATTATTTAGGGTACTATTCCTTCCCCTGTGGGTTAAAGAGAGATACAGAAGAAATAATCAATTTGAAGAAGATGGACTTGTATCTGGGAATTTTACAGCTCAGCTACTCTGAGGACATCTTTTTGACACAGTAGATATAGACCTCATACTACAAAAGAATATTCACCAAAACAGATGTAATAATCTTAGCTAAAATGGAAGGCCCTGGGTTGAGTGCAGAGACATGAAAAACTCAATACTAAATTACTTTTTTAAAGGAAAGAAAAATCCACACAGTACTCAATAGTAAAGTCCTCGCTAAGCATGTGAGCACAGGAAGATAAAAACTTTGGCTGAGGTCGGGTGCGGTGGCTCATGCCTGTAATCTCAGCACTTCAGGAGGCTGAAGCGGGCAGACCATGAGGTCAGAAGTTCAAGATCAGTCTGGCCAACATGGTGAAACCCTGTTTCTACTAAAAATACAAAAATTAGCTGGGTGTGGTCGTGGGTGCCTGTAATCCTAGCTACTCAGGAGGCTAAGGCAGATGAATCACTTGAACCTAGAAGGCAGAGGTTGCAGTGAGCTGAGATCACAGCACTGCACTCCAGCTTGGGCAACAGTTGAGCAAGACTCCATCTCAAAAAAAAAAAAAAAAAATTGGTTAAATGCTGGGAAATGAACTTTTTCATGGCCTGCTAGGCAACTATCACCAGCTAGAGATTGCTGGTGGTTGTGTTTTCTCTGTGTTTTTTGAGTTTCTCCTATGGCCCTAGACCAGGACAATAGGCATCTATTATAGGCTCCGATTACAAAGAGCAGAAAGAATTCTTTATTTCTCTGCTAATTACTCTAAAAATGCAAGTTGAAAGAAAGAGTACCACCTCCTGTATCCATCAGCAAATAGCACCATGCCTACCACCATCCTTTACCATTCAGGCCCTGCTGCCTCAAAATTCTCCATTGTTGTCATGAGTCATTGACCAGCATGGGCAATGGCACCTTCCAGAGTCAGCCTCTGTGCAAAGAAAGCAGAACTAGGTAGAGAGACACCTGGCAAAATGGAAAGCATTGGCAGGGATGTGTGACTCACTGGGTACCTTCCAAATAGCATGTGGTTGGTTATCATATTTCAAGTGCTTTCACATTTTAACATATATGAAGTTGGGATACTGCTTGTAGTATATACGTATGTATATTTTTTGCACATATACATATACACATAGAAACATACACACTGCATAAGGTAGTGTTCCCCTTTTTCCCCTCAAAAAGTATGATGAAATATATGGTGTCTATTCCATGTCTTCCAGCATGATATCTGTGAATGCAGGAAATGCGCTCATTACGATAGCCGTTGTAATATGTTAATAATACTAACCAAATGAGTCTGTAGTCTGTATTTTTAGGTGTTGGTGGCTTGCCTTTTTGCATTAGGAAATCTTGCAGCTTGCTTCTCTTTTATTAGGCAATTGTGACACCTGCTGTCAGAAACAAAGAACTTACCCTCTTCTCAAAAGCAGGCCTTTTCTATGGAAAAGAAAGAAACATGGCTAGGACATGAAAACTTCTGGGTGAAGATGAGAAAATAAGTTATTTTTTTTCTGACTGTTTAAAGTGCAGTATTAAGCAGGTAGCATTTTTCATTGAAACATTCTAAACAGCCCCAAACCTGTGTCTCTACCTCCCCATCCCTGGCTTTTTCCCTGAGGATGTGGTGGTGAGCCATTTAGAGACCAATAGTTGGACTAATATTTGCAGGCATCTACCCAACCTTTGGGCAGGTAGGTAGCACTTTTTTCTAGTTTCTAGCTACCTACATACGTTTGCCTCATATCTCCTTTCTGGAGATATGACTTTATTAAGGTATAATTTATATACATGTAAAATAAAATGCACTTACTTTTAACAAATGTAACAGTTTCTGCAATCATAATATAAAACATTTCCATTACTCATTCTTTTATGCCCCTTCCTTGTCAGCCCCAACTTCACCCTGGGTCCCAGGCAATCACTGATCTGCTAACACTATAAATTAAGTTTGTCGTTTCTAGTGTCAAGCAAAGGGGATCATCCAGAATGCATGTTTTGTGCCCAGCATCTTTCACTCAGCATAATGTTTAACAGGTTCATTTATTGTTCCAGTTACTATTGCTGCATAACTACTCACCTCAAACTCAGTGGCAGGGAACAATCATTTTAGCATGCTCATTGATCCCGTAGGTCAGACTTTCATCAGACCACAATAGTGACAGCTCTGTGATATATAGGGCCTCAGCTGGGAATATAGGCAGACTAAGGGTGAATAAATGCTTGAGTGCCAGTGTAATGGGGGAGCTCTCACTCACGTGCCTAAGGATTGATGCTAATTACTGATAGAGACCTCAAAGGCATGTATGGACTGGAACACTTGTACGTCGTCTTCTCACAGCTTCATGGTCTCAGAATAGTGAGAATCATTGCATGGTAGGTCAGGATTCCAGGCAGAAGCCGTTTGGCCTTTTCTGACCTAGTCATGGAGGTTACGTAGCGTCACTTTGGTTGCGTTATGTTGCTTTTAAGTACATTATCATGGTCAGTGTAGATTTAAGGGAAGACCCAAACAATTTGACAAAGGATCTGTGGATATATATTAAAACTGCCACATTATTTAATTGCACTGGAATCATTTTTTAAAAATCATTTTTAATGATTTTTAAAGAAATCATCTTTTAACTGTTCATGGGTAGTTAGGGAGTTTCCAGTCTTTGGCTATTATGAATATAACTGTAATGAACATTTGTGTACAAGTCTTTGTGTGGGCATATATTTTCATTTCTCAGAGTAAATACCAAGAGTAAAATTTCTAGGCCATATGGCAATATATATTTAACTTTATAAGAAACTGACAAAATGTTTTCAAGAATGATGTCACTTTACATCCCCGACAGCCATATGTGAGAATTCAAGTTGCTTTACATTTTCAACAACAGTTAGTATTGTCAGTTTTTTCAAATTTTAGTCATTCAACTGTATATATAATGTTATCTCATCGTAATTTTAACTTTCATTGCCTTGATGACTTAATGTCATTGAGCGCAGTTTTGAATGCTTATTGGCACAAATGTGTTGCAATCATTTGCTTGTCTTTAATGAGTTATTTGTTCTATTATTGAATGATTGCAGTTCTTTACATATTCCTGATACAAGTTCTTTGTTAGATAGACACACTACACAAATATTCCCAGGCTATTGTTTTTTCCTGTTCATTTTCTTAATGTTGTCTTTCCAAGAAGTTTTTGATGAAGTCTAAATAATTTTTTTCTTTTGTGTCTTATTTTCTCTGTACTAAGAAATCTTTGCATCTCTTTGGTTGCTAAGATTTTCTCCTATATTTTCTTCCAGAATTGTATTGTTTTAGCTCTTACATTAGATTTATGATGCATTTCCAGCTAATTTTTATGCAAGATGTTAGATATGGTTTAATGTTCATCTTTTCCATACCTATGTCCAGTAATTCTAGCACCATTAATTGAAAAAAGTATCCTTCCCTCATTGAATTACTTTCATACATTTGCAAAAATAATTAGCGAGTGTAGACATGAGAGTCCATTTCTGCCCTCCTTATTCTGTTCCATTGATCTCTATGTCAATGTTTTGGATGCTTTGGCCTTGCTGAACTAATTTATTAGTTCAAATAGCTTTTTTTAGACTCTTTAGGATTTTCTACATACAATATCATGTTGTCTGCAAATAAAGAGATTTTCACTAAAGGTGTACTAATGAGTATACCTTTTATTCTTTTTCTTATTGTATCACAATATTAGGTACTCTAGAAAAATATTAAGTAGAATTGTTGAGAATGAATATCCTTGTCTTGTATTTGATCTTATGGGGGAAACATTCACTTATTCGCGATAAAGCAAGCTTTCTCAATCTGACACGGAGGAGGTAGACATATGGAGTTAGATAATTCTTCATTGTGCAAGGGGCTCTCTTGTGTATTATAGAATATTTTGCAGCACTTCAGGCTTCTACTCTCTAAACACAAGTGGAACATCATCCCCCACCCTAACTGTGACAAGCAAACCTGTCTCGAAACATTGTCAAAAGTTCCCTAGGGGCAAAAATCACTCCCAGTTGAGCAACATTGCTATGTAGTGTGATTTTAACTGTAGGTTTTATGGGGATGCACCTTATTAGGTTGAGAAATTTCTCCATTTCTAGTTTGCTGAGAACTGTTATCACCAGTGGGTTTAGAGCTTTATCAAAAGATTTTATTGTTTTAGTAAGTCATATGATTTTGAAGCGGCATTGCTGTCTGGGGTAAATACCCAAAATTCATCCTCTCACACCAGGGAAATCGAGGATGTGGATGCACAAGAAGTGAGTTTAAGAGCGGAGGTTTGGTAGGCGAAAGAAAGAGAAGAGAATAGCTCTCTCTCACAGAGAAAAAGGGGTTCTTGAGTGGGTCTTCTGGTTCTATGGTGAAATGCATGGGGTTTTATAGATGGGCTTGAGGAGAGAGTGTCTGATTTACATAGAGCCGAAAAGATTGGTCGGGCCAGGTGTGCCACTCACATAGCACGAAGAAGCTGACCATCCTACCCTAATCTTTTATTATGAAGATGGGGTCTCTACCTGTCCATTACCATGTTGCCTTTTTTTTTTTTCTTTTTTCGCAGAGTCTCCTGCTTTGGCCCAGGCTGGAGTATGGTGGTGTGATCTTGGTTCACTGCAACCTCAGCCTCCCAGGTTGAATTGATTCTCCTGCCTCAGCCTCCCTAGTAGCTGGGATTACAGGCGCTTGCCACCACGCCCAGCCAATTTTTGTATTTTTAGTAGAGACAGGGTTTCACCACGTAGGCCAGGCTGGTCTCGAACTCCTGACCTCAGATGATCTGCCTGCCTGGGCCTCCCAGAGTACTGGGATTATAGGCGTGAGCCACCGCACCCAGCCTGCCTTTTTACTGTACACATGGCAACAAAGAAAACTGAAGAGGGAACCTCCATTTTGAACAGGCCTGCCCCCAGGTAGCCTTTTCCTATTGGCACAGTTGCCGGCATTCACCTATACAAGCTTCTAGCTTGCTTCTTTATGTCTACAGCTCAATTTTACAGGCTGCTGTTTGTTAGAAAAGACATTATTTGGAGGAGAAGACGCGGTTTGGTTTTTGGCCTCAGCAATAACACCACACATCTACAACCATCTGATCTTTGAAAAACCTGACAAAAACAAGTAATGGGGAAAGGATTCCCTATTTTATAAATGGTGTTGGGAAAACTGGCTAGCCATGTGCAGAAACCTGAAAAAAATCCCTTTCTTACACCTTATACAAAAATTAACTAAAGATTGATTAAAGACTTAAACATAAGACCTAAAACCATAAAAACCCTAGAAGAAAACCTAGGCAATACCATTCAGGACATAGGCATGGGCAAAGATTTCATGACTAAAACACCAAAAGCAAAGGTAACAGAAGCCAACATTGACAAATGGGATCTAATTAAACTAAAGAACTTCTGCACAGCAGAAGAAACTATCATCAGAGTGAACAGGCAACCTACAGAATGGGAGAACATTTTTGCAATCTATCCATCTGACAAAGGGCTAATATCCAGAATCTACAAAGAACTTAAACACATTTACAAGAAAATAACAACGCCATCAAAAAGTGGGCGAAGGATGTGAACAGACACTTCTCAAAAGAAGACATTTATGCGGCTAACAAACATATGAAAAAAGGCTAATCATCACTGGTCATTAGAGAAATGCAAATCAAAACCACAATGAGATACTATCTCATGCCAGTTAGAATGGTGATCATTAAAAAGTCAGGAAACAACAGATGCTGGATAGGATGCACAGAAATAGGAAGGCTTTTACACTGTTGGTGGGAGTGTAAATTAGTTCAACCATTGTGGAAGACAGTGTGGCGATTCCTCAAGGATCTAGAACTAGAAATACCATTTGACCCAGCAGTCCCATTACTAGTTATATACCCAAAGGATTATAAATCATTCTACTATAAAGACACATGCACACATATGTTTACTTCAGCACTGCTCACAATAGAAAAGACTTGGAACCAACCCAAATGCCTATGAATGACAGACTGGATAAAAAAATGTGGCACATACACCCCATGGAATACTATGCAGCCATCAAACAGAATGAGTTTATGTTCTTTACAGGGACATGCATGAAACTAGAAACTATCATTCTCAGCGTCATGCACCGGGGCCTGTGGCGGGGTGTGGGCCTGGGGGAGGGATAGCATTAGGAGAAATACCTAATGTAGGTGACAGGTTGATGGGTGTAGCAAACCACCATGGCACGTGTATACCTATGAAACAAACCTGCAAGTTCTGCACATGTACCCCAGAACTTAAAAGTATAATAAAAAAGATATTATTTGAGGATTGCTTTTTATTAAAAGGAAAACCAAGAACTCTTCCCCTTCCTATCTGCCTAAGTAAGTTATTTCTAGCTTCTGTATCAGTTTCTCTTTCATAATGATGAAATGTAGGGGTTTATTTTTGAATGTTATTCCAAACTTGTATTTCTAGGATAAACTCCACCTGCTCATGTTATATTATTCATTCATATATTGCTATATTTCATTTATTTATATTTTTAACTATTTTCTTGCTCTCTTCATAAGAGATAAGCCAACTATTTTTAAAAAATATTTTTGTATGGTTTTGGTAATAGGCTAATTCTGATCTCAAAATGTAATTGTGAATATTTTCTTTCATGCTCAAAATTTTAGAAGAGTTCATGTAAAATTCTTAAGATGCTGGCATGAATTTCACCAAGGAAGTTATCTGGGTCTTGAGTTTGCATTGTGGGAAGGTTTAAAACTACAAATTCCATTTTTCTAGTGGCTATATCTATTCAGATTTTCTATATCTTGATTAATTTGTTTTAACAACTTGAATCTCTTAAGGACTTTCCCCATTTCATGTAGATTTTAAATATTTGTTAGCATAAAGTGGTGCTGATCATAATCTCAAACACTTACCCAACGGTGTTGATATTCAATCACCAGTATTGTTTCTACCAAATTTGCGGTCTGTACATGAGGGTATGAGAAAATGCGTTTCACAAAACAACCTAGAAGCATGGCAGAGAAGGTAGGAAAGTTCAATAGGAAATGCTGACATCAATGCACATCAATTCATAGAAAAATTTCAGAAAGAACACAGCCACATAGAAAATGAATGTGAATGTATTTTCCAAAAGCTATGCCTTAAGAGAGAGGAAAAAAAGCAGATATTCATCATTATGCAAGACTTCAAAATACAGTTAATAATCATAAAAGTCAGTCAGTTCTTAGGAACTACTTATGTTCCTACCATAATCTGTGTCTGTAGTATACTTTTTCACATGTCCAATTTTTCTATTTAATTTTTCCCCTCTGTTTTAAATGGTCAGTGTTATTTTTTACAATTTGCTATGCTGTGTATTTCATTATTACACCATTTCCAACACTAAAGGTGTAAATTGTGTAAAGACTTTTAGAAAGTTTTTATATCTAAAATCTATCTAATCCACAGAAACATAAAAACATTTTCTCCATATTCCACAGAAATATAAAGGTAAGATCATAAAACCTATATTAACAAGAAAAATGGGTTAAAGTAGCACCAGGTAAAGTTCTTAAAATTCTCTTTTCTAGTAAACCCCATAGATCAACTAGTTTTCTAGTTAATTAATTCTCCCTGCAGGGTAAAACACATTCACATGTAGGCCTGCGCATGTACACATGTAGAAAACAAATGAAAAAAAAAATCCATTATTTTTACTAAAAAAAGTGACTATATCGTTTTATGTTTCTGTTTTACTTTCATCTAGGAAATTAAAATAAGCTTCACAGAATTAGAGAATCAAAATAGTTTGTTGTAAATTAGGAGGAAACATTCATTTGATTGACCTAAAATGTGCTCTCAGTAATTTTAGTCTTCAGATAAAGTACTTTTTCTCAGAGCATGCGGTTGAAGTCAGATTTCATTATTAGAAAAAGAGAATTTTAGAGCTACAAAAGAACTTCAATGTCTAACAACCTTAATGGATTTAGAGCTAGTTTTAGAAAAAGGTATATTTAGGACACATATTGATTCCTAGTACTGATTAAGTTCGTGTTTCTTCAGAAGTACATATTGCCAGTTACCACTCTATTTTCCTATTACCTAAATGAGACCTTCTAACTGCTCTGAATCATAAGTCTTGGCAAGAAATAGATACTTGGTATTTTTTTTTAAAGTTATTTACTTTTAATAGAGTTAGTGTGATATCCTGAAAACCAATTGGATTTTTAGGACATAGACTCAGGAATCCTTGTTCTGCCACTTACTATCTGTGTGAATTTAAAAAGGAGAATTAGTTTACTTATCTATAAAATTACCACCCCATCCTCCATTTTAAAGATGAGCCCATAGGATAGGCAAGCCCTGGATAAAGCATAGTTATGTTTTGCCATCTTTGGAAGGTTTAATAGAGATTGCTTAGCACTGTGTGTGAGACACAGTAAGCATTCAGCAAATGGAAGGTAATATTAGTAACTGTCAATAATAGAAATGCTTTTTCTCTTTGTTCAATCTCAGATGTAATGTCACAGCTCTGCTGATTTTCTACTGCACCATTATCTCCCTGACCTAAACCGGTAGGCCAGGACACATGAGCACCTTTCTTTAAGTCCGCTTTTTGGGGCCTACCTTCTTCTGTGTCACATGTACTGACACAGTCCTTTACACATGTTCAACAAAGATTTCAACAAAGAGGGGTGCCCCAATGTCTAGGTAAAGAATTCCCAGAAGCTTTATTATGAGGTTGGATATTAAAGAGACAAACTTGGCTTTTTCTAAAACAAAATATAGCATTAAGTTACACAGTAGGTCAAACAAATTATCTTTGTTTCTTGCTTTTTCTTTTCTTGCTCTTCTATTTACGTGTGTATATGTGTTCGCACATGCACGTATCTGCATGTACATGTGCAGTGCTCTGTTACTTTTACTATTTGAGAAGCCTTCTATACATCTTCGTTCTTCTAATTTCCATTTCAGTTCTTCTTAAGAGCTCTTGTCAGCAAAATGTAATGCAGTAAACCTCTGGGGACAACAGCTACTTCAAGCCAGAAGTATATCCTTAAGAAAACGATTCCTCCTTCTCTCCACCTGCCTTCTTGTAATATAATAGTGAGTTATAACTGCAGTTGTATAATTAGTAGAAAATCTATTTTAGAAGGAATATGATTTATTTATGCTCCATGTTTATTTCCTTGGAGTTTAATCTACTTAGCATTACTTTTTTTGGTGGGCCAAAACCTGGCCCAGAATCTGGTCACCCTAAATAAATACTATTGAATATTTTTATTTTGAGTGGTTCAAAAATCTCCCCAAATTTAAAATGCTTACAAAAAAATGGAAAATAACACTAACATAAAAAAATATCGCTTAAGCCAGAGGTTGATATACATTTTCTGTAAAGGCCAGATAGTATGTACATATTTTAGATCTCACAGGCCATACGGTTTCTCTTGCAACAACGTTGCTATTGCATCATGAAAACAGCCACAGACAAGTAGACCTGGCTATGTTCCAATAAAACTTTATTTATAAAACTTGTTGTGTTCCATATATTGCAGTATACTTTCCCCTTAAGAAATACAATGGCTGTCATTTTATTTCTTAATTTTGGAGAAAATCATGCAGCAGTCTTCCAAATTACTGAGAAAATCTTCCAAAATGCCTTGAAAATCATCACATTTAATATCCTATATTAAATACAGTTTGAGTACCCTTTCTCCAGCAAAAGAAAACTCCAGGAATAAAATCTCTGAGCCTGAAGGATAAAAATAAAATATATCAGTGTGAGAAAAAAACTAAATTAAGATCAAATCTGGCCCAATAAAAACCATTTGCTTCTTTCCCCATTCCAATCCATTATTCCAGATATCCTTATAATTCAAAAAAAAAAAAAAAAAACAGGTTGAACAATTTTATGTGTGTATTTAAAATCTTTAGCAGCTATTGCCATCAGGATAAATTATCTTTTTACCCTAGCAAACTGACCTCTTCATGATCCATCTCCACCATCCCTGAGTAGACTCATCTCATGCACTGCCTTTCCTCTTCCCCAAACCCATTAACCGATTCCATTGCTAACCACATCTCCATTGAGCACCCAGTTTTAGGAATGTGTCAGAGTTTATATGTGCATTGGCTTCATCTATATTGTTTTCAAGCATTTTCGTTTCAATTCATAACAATACTGTACTAAAGAGTACTTGTGGGCAAATTTCATCTTCCCATTAACATCTAACATTTTTTTAATTTTTTTTTTTTTTTTTTTTTTGAGACGGAGTCTCGCTCTGTCGCCAGGCTGGAGTGCAGTGGCGCGATTTTGGCTCACTGCAACCTCCACCTTTCGGGTTCAAGTAATTCTTCTGCCTCAGCCTCCCGAGTAGCTGGGACTACAGGCATGCACCATCACGCCCAGCTAATTTTTGTATTTTTAGTAGAGACAGGGTTTCACCATGCTGGCCAGGATGGTCTCACTCTCTTGACCTTGTGATTTGCCTGCCTTGGACTCCCAAAATGCTGAGATTACAGGCGTGAGCCACCACATTTTTTTTTATTTTAATCTTCTTAGAAGAGTATTCAATTGCTACAAGCATGTATTACTTAGGCGAAGCAACAGAGAAAGTCCAGCAAGGAATATGGTGGAAGCCAAGGTTGGAGGGCCTTAAACCATAATAACAAACAAAATAGATCAAAAGAAACAAAAGAGAACAAAGAAAACAAAAGCCTACCTCCTGACTTCATAGGGAGAGAGTGAGAATAGCTTTTGCGTGAATTCTCCTTAACAATTAGGGATAAAGGAGCATGGTTTTTTAAGGAAGAAACTTTGATGAAAGAAAATTCAAAAATTCTTAGATTTCTATCTGAGGACAACCATTGGCATGAGCAGGCAGCAGGACCACCAACAAGGCACAGAACAAGGCAGAGGCTCCAAATATGCCCTTGACCTTTGCATCATTTGCGGTTAGAATTTGAAAATGGAAGAGACTGGTTTCCTTAATTTCAAAACTTGTGCAGGTGGTGGTTACCTTGAGAAGCAAAAACGTTTTTCTAAAGACTATCATTGATAAAGGGTTTCTCTGTGATGCACAGAAGTGAGAGTTAGAATAGTGGAAACCCAGTAAATTAATTGTCTAAGAGACTTGGGCTAGGACAAAGCTCCCCCATTTGCTGGTTTTCCTAGAGCAGGTGAATTTTTCTCTTGAACCTCAGTTTTCTCATTAGTAACATGGCTAAAACAATAACTAACGTACATTGTTAAAATGACTGAGACTGACAGAGTGAATGCTCAAGATATCAGCTGTATTTCATCATTAGCTAGAGGGGTTAAATTCAAACCTGCCTCAAGTGCATGCTTTCCGAACAAAGGAGGGCATTCTGGGTGCCAGAATACACTCCTTTACTTTCTCTTGCCAGGGGACAGTCTTAGCAGGAGGGAGCTTGTGGCACAAATTTGAGGGCCACACTCAGCCTCTGACCCATGATTAATGGAGACCTGCCGGTACAGGCACACAGAGATCAAGCTGTGCCCAAAGGAACAACTGTGGGTGAAAGCGATCTTACAGAGTTTGAATGAGCAGACTGTAGAGATGCTATCACATTCATTTTCTCTTTTCAAGACAACAAAACAAAACAGAACAAAACAATTATGGATATTCAGGTTGTTACAACTATCACTATGGCCTTGGCTCTGGTATTCGATGGCTCATGAGTAGCTCTTGATTCCAGATAACTCTGGAGCTTTTCAGCAGCCTTGGGCTAACTGTAGAGACCCAGAGCAGTATATATTTTTAGGAAAATAGAGGTTGCAGTGGTAATGGTTTTTCAGTCACATCAAATCTATAATATTTATAATCTATTCTATAAACTGAGTGTGGCAATAAAGTTATGATAAATCAATTAACTTCTTAAAGTACTAGTCGCTGAGTCCCAACAAGGTGCACGGTCTGGTGTTTTCAGACCCTGCAGAAGACAGGTGAATGTTAGCCACGGTTTCTGTCTTCAAAGAGCCTACACAAATTGTAGAAAATAATATGAGAATGTGACCTATGATTCCTGGCATTGCAAATGTTCAGAAGCAGGAATAGGCAGACGACTTGCAAATTAAGATTTATCACTTTATTAAGGTCTAAACAAACAAACTGAATACCTCACACCTCACTACAACTAGTCCACAATAACGAGGAAAGAAAAGATCAAAGACTCACTCAAAGACCCTCACACACCAACAGGGAGACTGTAGAGCAGAGAGAGGCAGAGTATTAGGAGACAGGGAGGGGTAACAGAGGTTTCCTGGAGAATGTGATATTACATGTGTGGGTTTGGGGAAAGTGATGGGCATGGGGCAGGGAGCCCCTCATGCCGCAGGATGATTTATCATATTGTCAAATTGGAGGAGAAAGGTGACATGGAATCAAAAATATGATTAAGCTGCAAAAGGCTTTACAGGTGCTCTCAGAGTTCTGTTCAGTCAACCTTGAAAACTATCTTTCAGCAAAATCTGTAGGAAGATGAAAGCAAAGACAACTGCACGGGATAATTCACACAGGCATGCCAATAAAAGCAGCAGGAACACCAAGAACTGAGCAGGCCAACCAACCAAGTGATCGTTGGCCAAAAGTAACATCTCTACTCTTTCTCAGTTATTGATTTTAAACATTTTCCAAACAGTGACTGGGCATGATAACCTATGCCTCCTAATACTTGAGCATTCATGAGAGTAGGAAATTCTCTTCAGAAAGCCAGAAGAATCTGGAGTCTTGGTTATTTGTTAATAACACTCAGTTCTTGGAAAGAAAATGTAAGCTATTGTAAGAAATGCAAGAAAATGTAATATAAGGACAAAATACTTAAAATGGTCAATTCACACTAAAAGTATTTATTGAGAGGCTACTATATGTGAGGAACTATTCTAGACCTTAAGGGTGTAGCACTGAACAACAGATGAAATTCTATGTTGCATTCTAGTACAGAGGGATAGATGAAGAAATACACAAATGAAGTCTTCATTGAGCAGGTGCTAAGAACTGCTATGATAAGACACCAAGTGGGGAGGGGGATGCATGTTTAGATGCATGTGTGTTAGGGGAGTGAAATCTAAAATAGAGTGGCAAGTGCTGATATTTTCTGAAAAGTGGGAAGGTCTTACTGCAAAGGTGACATTTAAAGAAAGGACTAAAAGTGGTGAGGGATAGAGCCAGGAGGAAGGAGCCCTGGGATGACAACATGCTGGCATTTTACAGCAAGAACACAGCATGTTACATACAGCAAGAAGGGCAGAGAAGGTGAGCAGGGGATGGGTAAGGGACAAGGCCCATGAACAACAAGGCCCCAGAGCAAGTGGGGACTTGGAGATCATTGCAAGGAATTTAGCTTCTACTCACCTACTCACAGTGGAGTGGGAGCTATTGGAGGATTTTCAACAAAGAATGACATAGTATTGTGTCCATTTTAAAAGGAATTATGGGAGAGAAGCAAGGACAAAAGCGATGACACTGCCAATAAAGAGGGTGTTGAAGAAATCCCAGTGAGAGATGATTATGGATTAGCTGAGTGGTGGCAGTGCAGATGAGAAATGGTTAGATTCAGAGTGTATTCTGGAGGATGAGACAGCAGGATTTCCTGACAGATTACGTATGAGGTGTGAGAGGAAGCAAGGTGTCAGTGGTGCCTTCAGCATCTTTGGCTTGAGTGGCTTTATTGACAGCATTGCCATTTACCTGAGGTGAGAAAGACATATGGAGAAAGAACTTGGGGGATGAAGATCACGACATTGGTTTTTGTATATATTAAAGTTGAAATGCCTACTAGAGACCAAAATGAAGATGATAAATAGATAAATAAAGCCAAGGAAATATTTCTGGGTTCTATTAATTTGACAACCATACAGCTATAGTTTGAAAGACATGCAATTTACTGAGATTCTCCAAAAGAATAAGTGTAGACAGAAAGGAGAATAAGCAAAAGGAGTGAGCTTTGGGGCTCTTCCCATGTTTAAGTCTCTGGAGCATGGGGAGAAAGTGAGCAGCTAACGAGAAAGAAAACCTGAGCTGAAAGTCACATAAAGAAAATGTGTCCAAACAGCGGATGGTCAATAACAAATCAAACATGAATTTGAGGTCAAATGAAGTCAGGACTGCTGAGAACAGACCACTGAATGTAAAATCTGGGGATTCTTGGCGACCTTGATGAGTAGTTTCAGCAGAGCAATGGGGGCAAAAACCTGTGGGGTAGCCTAAAAAGCGAATGATGAGAAGAACTAGTGACAATGATTACAGATAACTCTTGGAGGGGATTTTATTATAAAGAGATCAGAAAACTGTAGGTAGCTGGATGGAGATGTGAGATCAAGAGAGTTACTGTAAGTTTTTAAAGATGAAGGAAATTGCAACTTGTTTATATGCTCGTGGAAATGCTCCAGGGCAGAGATGGAAAAGGATGCAAGAGCGGGGTGAGTTGTGGCTGTCAATTGAGAAAAATGATGAGACAAGTCTCGATCATTTCAGGAGGTTTATTTGCCAAAGTTAAGGGCACACACCCATGACACAGCCTCAGGAGGTCCTGCAGACATGTGCCCAAGGTGGTTGGGGCACAGCTTGGTTTTACACATTTTAGGGAGACGTGAGACATCAACAAATATATGTAAGAAGTACATTGGTTCCATCCAGAAAGGCGGGGACAACTCGAAGCAGGGAGGGGACTTCCAGATCACAGGTAGGTAAGAGGAAAATGTTTGCATTCTTTGCGTTTCTGATAAGCCTTTCCAAAGGAGGCAATCAGAATATGCATCTGTCTCAATGAGCAGAGGGATGACTTTGAATAGAATGGAAGGCAGGTTTGTCCTGAGCTGTTCCCAGTTTGACTTTTCCCTTAGCTTCGTATTTTGGGGCCCCAAGATTTTCCTTTCATATCGCCATGATGTCCTTTTATAGGGAAGAAGAGTGAGAGTCTAGTGCAGAATTGGATGTATCAGCCTTTGATAGAAGCATGGCCCATTCATTCTCAGTAACTGTAAGACAGAGGATCTGAGCACAGACAGGTGGGTAGATGTGGTAGTGGGGGTTGGTAGAAATGATTTTCTGATTGTCTCTTTTTTTCAGTAAATTAGAAGCAAAGTCACTAGCTATTAGAGATGAAGGAAGAGCCATTGGAGGATTGAGGAGTGAGGCAAAGCTGTGACTCAGTTTTGGAAGAAGATGAAACTTATGAATAGAAGCATGAATGCCATCACCTTGGGCCTAGTTTATTCAACAGGGAAAAAAAATCTAATTATACTGACTTTTATACCCCGTCACCACTTGGCTTTAAGCCTGTGTTATTTAAACCATTTTGACCTTACTGAACTTAGTGAAAATTCTTAAAGCTGTTATGAAACAGTCAGATTGAAAGTAAGAAAAACATCAACCCTTTCACAAAATTGAGAGTTATGCGTGTGTTATGCACTATTCATTAATTATCTTGTTTAATGTACACAGTGATCCTGTATAGAATGCTAGGATCAGTGTGTACATTAAACAAGATCATTAATGGAAATACCAAGGAGTTTGTTCAATGTCACTAGCTAAATAATATGATTACCATAATTAAGAGGTGAAATTGTTATACACTCTGTTTACCCTGGGCCTGCCACTCCCTAGGAATAACGTTGACCCTTTGGGCAGCAGACTGAGTTAAATTTTTTGACTCT
Source organism: Homo sapiens (assembly GCF_000001405.40). Lineage (NCBI taxonomy): Eukaryota > Metazoa > Chordata > Mammalia > Primates > Hominidae > Homo > Homo sapiens. The sequence continues at coordinate 24,433,701 of NC_000008.11, forward strand.
TGTTGCATTTATTATTTGACATTTACTATATATAAATTGATAAATTTGTGGTTGGAAATGGAAAATAAGATAGTGATAAAATGACCCCAATTTTTTATTATTATGATAAGTTAAAATCTATACTTACAATGAAGAAGGTCTAAGAGAAGAAAAAGATCAGTAAAGAGATGGAAACATTTGAACAATATAGTGATAGAAACATAGCATTTTGTTGTTAAAACAATCTAGGGGATCAAACATAACTATTCCAATTTATAAATAAGGTGCAGGGGCCCCCAGAAATAAGTGACTTGCTGAAGTTCACTGAATTAGAGAAGAATACAGGGCTTCTGATTTAGAATTTGGTATTCTTTTCAGAATACTTAAGCATGATTACCGAGCTGAAAAGAGCTTCTGAATCTATGAAGAAAATTACAAATTCTCCTGGAATAATGTGTCTTTGGAGTACTTTATGAGGATATTTACTGTAAAGTCAGATAGAAAATGCTGATTTTTATTCCAGTAATTCTATATGAACCTTTTTTTGCCATTACAATTATAATTTAAATAAGATACTTTTATTCATTCTCTTCAGTCTCTCCACTCACTTGAATGTATTGCAGCTTTTCTTCATGTTTCTTTTTACAAAGGTGGCACAAGGGTAAGCATTTTGGGTCCACAAAGTGGGCAACTTTTCATTTCCAGCTCAGAATATATTCTTTATCAACTGCATTCTTCCCAGGCCTCCATTATTGTTCACTCTTTTAAGTCCTTAAGAAGGTTGATGAGATTGCTCTCCAAGTTGCTAGCTGGGAGTGGGAGTGGGAATGAGGGAACTAGAGAGAGGAGACTTAGGAGGGCAAGCCTGAAGGAATATCTGGGTTGTGAGAGCAATCAAAAGGAGAAAAAGGCCAGCTGTGTGCAAAGCTGTGAGGCCTCCAAGACAAGTACTCCTGGTTGACTGTTTTGTAAAGAGCTGATGCCAGTGGCAATAAGAAATGAATGCAAGAATCTACGACCTCAATACTCAAGGAAACCTAGATGGGACTCTATCGGAGCACCTGCTATGAGAGATTGCTTTGCTAATTTGCAGCAGAGAAATAAAAAGAGGACAGCGCATTCTCATACTTGTTTAATCTTCTCTAAAATCTGCTTTTGTTTGGCATTTGGACTCCACAGAGTTCCTTTGATATTGAAATGCTTCAGGGTTCATTGTTTTTGTAAAAAAGCTTTGTATACTTCAATAATATCATTAATTTAAATATGGAAAGCTGTGACCTGAGATGAGAATCCATTATGGGCTAGTAATAAAATCTTCATTTTTTCCCCTATCCCGTACTAATGATCTGGTAGAGTTTAGAATTGAGGGATCATATTCCTCAAATTGAAAAAATATATCATAGAGTGATCGTGAGAAGGAATAAAGCTTCTCCTCTCCCACATAAAAAAAGAGAGGCCTCAGTGTATAATAAAAATAACAAAGAGCTAGGCAGAAATTTTCTTTTCATCTCTGCTTTCCACTTATTATGTTGTTTGAATAAATTACAAAAACTTTTCTGTGAATTTCCCTAACGTTCTTGGTTGTTTCACCTGGGGTAACCATACATAATGCCATATGTAATATTTCAGATTCACTAGAAAGTTGGCTTGACCGTAAGTTGCTGAAAGACATCAGACAAATGCCTTAAAGTCTTATCTTTTAATATGACACTATAAATAACTCAGATTCCATGATTAGTATTTTAAAAATTGGTTTATTTCATTTTCCACAATCTTGACTGTAATAGAGGCAAGTTCAACATATTTCCCATCACCCAACATAAAATGTTCTTTTCAATTGTCACTGTGAATAAAGCTGACAATTTCCACTTGATGCGTGAATGTTTGGTGAAGGGTCAGATACACTCAGTAGGCCCATTGGACTTCAACTATCTCTTCTATTGACCCGAAACAGTAGTAGAAATTCTACCAGTAAAGATGATAATTTGGGTTAAAGCTGTTTCAAGGACAGGTTCAAAATTTCTGGAAAGAAAATATGTAAGGATCTAATCTGAAAATATTTTGCAAATTAATTTAGTAATTCATTTAACAAATTTATATTGAATGCAATGTCTATATGCAAGACCTTGTTAGGTTTGTGGTACTAGAGCAAGCAAAGCAACTGCACTTTTTACTTTATGGAGCTTTGGTTTTCTGGAGGAGACAAATATTCATATATTTAGAGTAATAAGTGTAGGACACACCAACATAAATTTTCAGAAGTAAAAGAATCTTGTTTCACAAAGAAATGTGGCCTAGACTTAGGCGTTAGGGAAGACTTTTTTGACATAGTGACCCTTGAACTGAGAACTGTAAATGGAGAAATTAATTTGACCACAAGGAGGAGAGGACAGGACTACAGGTTAAGAGGAAAGTATGTCTAGAGGTCCTTTAATGGGAGAAAGCATTGCATATTGGAGTAAAGGGGGAACGCCAGAAAACTTGGAGCTCAGAGAGCAGAAGAGAGAAAAAATAGTAGCAGATACAATTAGATCAATAAAAGTAATTATACCAAAAATCGACATTTATATAGCTCTTAGAAAATCAACACTTATCTATCTATTGACATATGGGAGGCATTGCTTTTCAGTGATTTACATAAATCACTTCACTGAATCCTCACAACAATTGCTGCAAGTTAGATAACGTTGCTATTCTCATTTTGGGAAATGAAAAAACTGAAGCACAGAGAGATCAGATATCGTCCAAGGTTTACAGGTAGGAAGTGTAAGTGTAAGTGCTGGGAATTGAACCCAGATGGTGTGGTACTTAGTGCGTACTTTTATTTACTGTACTCTACAACCTCCTCATCATTAGAAGCTAAAATAATCATAGTTTACGCTCTTTTTTTTGAAGCAGAGGTTTAATCGGCAAGAGAAAGAAAAAGGAATACAGCTCTCTCTCTCTAGTGAGAGAGAGGGGACTTCCAAGAGGAAAAGGCCCATAGTTTACTTTTATTGAGTGTTTGCTATGTACCAGATATCTTTCGAAGTTTGCAAATGTATTACATTACACATTCAATAAAAATCTATTGCCAATCTACTGTTCTAGGCAATAAAGATACGGTGGTAAACAAAGCAGACACAATTTTTATCCTCACAGAGCTACATTTTAAGGAGAGGAGTCAGCCTATGAAAAATAAGTAAACAAACAAGTAAATGTATAGCATTTTAGATGGTGACTAATACAAGGCACAAAAGGGCTTAGAGGTGCCAGGGTGGGAGTGGGCAGGTCTATTTTGCATAGGGTGCTTACAGAAGATTCACAGAATGATGTATTTTAATAGACACCTGAAAGGAGAGAAAAACATCGACGTGTGACTGAGAGGGTTACATTCCAGGAAGAAGGAACACCGAGCAAAGACCCTTGAAGCAGAATGTGCTTGTCATGCTCAATAGATGCCAAGGACACTAGGCAATATGCTCAGTGTAGGGAGGGGGGAGAGTAGTAAGATATGAAGCCAGACAACATCAGGCTAGATCATGTAGATCCTGGAGGCTCTCAGAACTTTGCCTAATACTCTGAAAATGGAAGTTATTGAAAAATTTGGACAGAAGGAATCACATAAAGTGATGCATGTTAATAAGAGCATTCTAGGTGATGGGTGGATAATACATTGTGAGGGACCAAGAGAAAAACAGTAAGACTAATTAAGAGTTTAGCTTCAATAAACTAAGCTAGAGATGATAATGTCTAAATTTTCTAAGAATCAGCAAAATAGCAGTAAATGTGGTGAGATACGGTCAGAGCCTTGATGCCTTTTCAGGATAGTGACAACTGGATTTGCTAAAGAATGGGATGCAAAGTGTGAAGAAAAGAGACGAATCAAGGATGACTCCTGGGCAACTGAAAGAATGGAGTTGCAATATCTTAAGATAGGAAAGACTACGGAAACACCAGGTTTGGAGGGGGAGAGCAAGAATCTGGCTTTGTACTTGTGCTTGAGAAATCCATTAGTCTTTCAAGTGAAGATGTTGAAAAGAGAGTTGCTTCTATGAGTCTGAAATTCAGAAAAGATCAGGTTAGATAAATAAATTTGGCAGCCATCATATTATAGATAATATTGAAGATCAAAAGATTGAATGGGAACCACCTCATGAGTATACAGAGAAGAGGAAAGTCTCAAGAATGAAGCCATGGGAATCTATAGCGTTTACACACTGGGGAGAGAAAGAGGACCAACAAAGGAGACTAAGAAGATGCAGTGAATAAGCATGGAGGAAATCCATGATGCACCAGGGACTCAATTCCTTTCAAAAAATGAAAATAATCCACTGTGTCCAATGCTGCTAAAGGATCAAGTGAGTGTGGACTGAAAACTGACCACTGAATTAAGCAAGGTACAGATCATTTGAACGTCGCCTTGTTGAGCAAAGGGTAAAAAGTCTAACAGGACTAATCTCAAGAACAAATAAGGAGAAAGGAACTGGAAACAAACTGTAGACTTTTTATTTTTTTAGAAATTTTACTGTTAGAATCCAAGAATGGGTGGTAGCTGTTTGAAAGGAGAATGATGTAAAAGAAGAAATATTTTTCAAAGGATAGAAAAAATGATTATATATATATATATATATATATATATATATAGAGAGAGAGAGAGAGAGAGAGAGAGAGAGATGATAGTAGAGATGGGGAAGAATTGCTGGAGTGATGACATTGAGGGGACAGGAAGGAATAAAATCCTGCATATTAATTGGGGAATAGACACTAGAAGCATGAACAGTGCATGCATAAAAACAGGAAAGAATGAGTCTATATGGGCACACATTGTAAGGTAGATGTGATAATGAGAGAAAGTGAGAGTTCCTATGATGGTTTATTTTTTTGCCAGTGAAATAGAAAAGCAAGATGGTCAGATGAGAGTGATGAAGAGGAGATTTCGAGATTTAGGGAAAGAAGAAAGGGTATATAATAATTAAGAGAAGTGGGGAGTGAATTAACTAGGGAATAAAAGATGGCTTGTGAGTACGGATTCATTTAATCTTCACATCATCCCTATCAGATTTATATTATTATGCCCATTTTATAGATGAGAAAACAGAAGTACAGAAATGTATCATACCTTAACCAAAGCCACAGAGTTAATAAGTGTCAGGCAATTTAAGTCAAGTGAGTCTTTTGTCTAACACCAGTGAAAAACTATTGAAGCATTTTTTTTTAACAGGCACATGACATGGCCAGGTTTACCTATTAAAAATATTACACTTGTGGTCATGCACAGTGACTCACACCTGTAATCCCAGCATTTTGGGAGGCTGAGGCAGGTGGATCACTTGAGGTTAGGAGTTTGAGACCAGCCTGGCCAACATGGTGAAACCCTATCTTTACTAAAAATACAAAAATTAGCTCAGCATGGTGGCACACACTTGTAGTCTCAGCTACTCAGAAAGCTGAGACAGGAGAATTGCTTAAACCCAGGAGGCAGAGGTTGCAGTGAGCCAAGATTGCACCACTGCACTCCACCCTAGGTGACAGAGCGACACTGCATCTCAGAAATAAAAAATAAATAAATAATCACACTTGTTGCAATGTAACCAAAGAATGTCTTGGACTATAATGGAGGCAAAAAAAAAAAACTTAGTGGTGGACTGATTATAAGGGATGTCATTGATGATACTGACTTTCAGAATTGCAATGCTAAAGGGATGAGGCACTGCTGGCCAAGACAGAGGACAAACTGGGGGGAAATGTATTTTAAGTCTTGTACATATTGATTTTACAAGGACTTTGATCCTTCCCAATGAAGACATTAAGTAGAAACTTTGCTGTAAAGATCTGTTGCCCAAATGGCTAGAAATATAAAATGTGAGGCATAGCATAGCAATAATTAAACCATAACTGAAGATGAGATGGCTTTGGAACAAGCATAATCGGAGGAAAAGAGGGTGTTTAATAAATACCTCAAGGAACTCAAAAATTTAAATGCTACATAGAAAAGGATATACCTACAAGTTGCCACTGAACCAGGAAGAAGTTAAGAAGGCTATTGTGGCAAGGGAGCTAAATAGTATATTTCAAGGGGAAGGATGTGGTCAACAGTGCTAAAAATTGTTAAAAGGGCAAATGAGATGAGGAAACAAAATATCTCTTGGATATAGAAATGGTAAAATCACTGGAGATATTGGCCATTTCAGTAGAATAATAAAGGCAGATGCTAGAACTGGGATGTGGTAGGATAAGTTTGAGGTAAGAAAATTGCAAGAAGTCCAGGTAATACTGTGTTAGAAATTTAGCTGTAAAGGAAATGGGAGAAAAAGTGATAGTAAGAGTATATGAGATATAGAATAGAGAGAATTTTTCAAAAAGGAGAGACTTTTGACTTGACTTAAAATGGTACCCCCGTTTTAAGCCAAGGGACTCCGATTTCTCTGCCTCCTTTCCAAGTTTGCTTATGTTTTCCCAATTTGTAAATATCAGTGTCAATTTCCCCACCTGCAAAGTGGGGATTATATTTTATAATGCTGCTATACATGGCTGCTAACTGGGAGCAAGTGAACTGTATGAGGACAATTCTGTTTTTCAACCACAATGGATGAATATTAATGTCAGATGGATTTTTCCTCTTATGTTTCCTTGTAGAAAAAGTCGTCCTTGGAGCAGAGGGTCTAAATATCAAAAGGAAGCTTCCAATTGACATAGATTCGTTCAGTTTGTGGAAATATTAGAGACATATAGATGCGGGTGAGAAATAGAATCCCAAATGAAGATAAAAGGATTCTATTGGCCATGGGATAACTCTACTAACATAACAAGAGAACACAGACATACAGATGGAATTGTCGAGGCCCTTTGCACATCTGTCCATTGGTATTCTTTTTTGTATTGCTTTGAAAGGGCTCTATATTATATGGACACTTACTCCCACCTTTTATTTATTTATTACATACATTTCTGTAGTTTGGATATTTTAATTTTAATATGTGATTTATGCCATATAAATTTTCAATATTTCTCATTTAACAAATGTTCCTTTTAGTTTTTATATGGCATACTCTGCATAGAAAGAATTTAACCATCTTCAACCAAAGCATATATAAATATTTTTCAACATTTTTTTCCTAAGACATTCTTGATTTTTTTCCACTTTTGAAGTTTTCAGATATCTGGAATCAAATTTATATTAGACATGACGTAGGAATCTATGTCCAGCCAACCTTCACCACCACCACCTCGGTAGTTGTCTTTAATTAGAACATGATGTTCAACCTCCAGGTTTTAGCCTCAAGCACCTAGCAAGTTGTGTAACTCCCTCAAGGAACACTTCCTTGTTGTGGATCAAAACTGCCCACCTATCTGTGAGGTGCTTCATCCCTGCAGTGGAAGTGAGGAGGAAGAAAGGTGAACTCCTTTTCTCAAGCACTTCTGCTCTCCTCTACCAGAATCACTCAGAATGCTTCCCGGGTGTATATTCTTGATGATTTTACTCATTCCTCAGGTTAAAGGTATGTCTTGCTCTTTTTATCAGGACTTTCTTATTATGCTGTGAGGTTGTGTCTCTTTAGTCACAAACTTTAAACTGTAAGTGATAAAAACATTAAACGTTGATGATTTTTCTGAGAGCTTCGACTAGATTACAGCTAATCATGAGACTCCATGCATCTGTGTAATGCCATATCACTCTTGAACATTCTGACCCACAGTGAGGAGGAGAAAGGAGTGGACAAGTACTGCATATCTGCAGCATGGCAGGCACTGTGCTGGCCATTAGCTGCTTTGTATGTTAAAGTGTTTAAAATTTGAAATTAATATCTCCACTTTACAGATAAGGAAAATGAGACTATTTACAGATCAGAGAAATTAAATATGCTACTGCTGGCCACACAATAAATTGGTAAAGGCTTGATTCAAATCAGAGCATATTCCAGAAACCCCATGCCCTCTCCTTTTTATTGCTCTTTAAGTATCACACCTTAATTAAGCAGGGCTCATCTCACAGATGACTATCAAGGTGATAGGACATGAATAGAAGATTATGGTTGGCACTGATGCAGGGCTACCCAAAATTCTTTAACAGGTAAAGGTCTTATACTTAACTACGAAAGGTAAGACTTTAAATGCAAACATCCCTGGAAGACCAAATTCAGTAATTTACATTCAAACAGGACAACAGTGCAGGCTTTGACAGGAGACAAAATCCAGAGGTTGGCATGAGGATAACAAAACGACAACTGCAGGCCAGACATGGTGGCTCATGCCTGTAATCCCAGCACTTTGGGAGGCTGAGGCAGGTGGATCACCTGAGGTCAGGAGTTTGAGACTAGCCTGGCCAACATGGTGAAACCCCGTCTCTACTAAAAATACAAAAATTAGCCAGGCATGGTGGTGTGCACTTGTAATCCCAGCTACTTGGGAGGCTGAGGTGGAAGAATCGCTTGAACCGGGGAGGCGGAGGTTGCAGTGAGCCGAGATCACGCCACTACACTCCAGCCTGGCTGACAGAGCGAGACTCTGTCTCAAAAAAATAAATAAATGAAACAAAAAATAAAATTACAGCTGCAGAACATGGCGAAAATATGGAGGAAATGGAGGGACACTGATTTCTTTGGCTCCTTTCCAAGTTTCCTTATATTCTCCTGATTTGTAAATATCAGTGTCAATTTCCTTGCCAGTAAAGTGGGAATAACATTTCATAGTGTTGCTGTCCATGGCTGCTAACTGGGGGCAAATGAACTGTATTAGAACAATTCTGTTTTTCAGCCGCTGTAGACGAATGTTAATGTCAGACGGATTTTTTCCTCTTATGTTTCCTCGTAGAAAAGTTCATCCTTGGAGTAGAGGGTCAACAACTGGTTCGTCCTAAAAAGCTTCCTCTGATACAGAAGCGAGATACTGGACACACCCATGATGATGACATACTGGTACAAGTTTTGATTTAGTAAATAAGATTTGTTGCTTTCACAGGCATGTAGACAGTTGTCTCTAGCTCCAACCAGAAGCAAATAGGGAGAGAGGAGTTTCAATTTTTCTAAGGACTCCCATTCGGCATACACCATGTGCTTGGGAATAAGCAACCCCTCAATGGGTTAGAAAACAGAAAAGAGTAAAGCCTGGGTTTAGGGAATACCATTCTAAATTTTCCAGTTTATGGAGTTCCACCAACAGCTTTCAGGCTGACTTATAACAACCTCATTTGTTCTGAGCCGGTGCCTGGTGAATGTCATCTTGAGCATGTTACTTTCCCAGAGGTCTGGTATGCAAGGTTTTTGTTTATAGAGTCTGCAGCAAAGATGTGCAACTTTCAGAGGAACTCAAAGGCCTGCTTGGTCTGTTGCTCAGAAGGGTATTTATTCAGATATTAACAATTAAATAAAAACTTGAAAGATTACTTTCAAAAGTAACGAATGCTTATTATAGAAAATAGATAATATATGTAAGAGGGAACAGGCTTGAAAATTAAGATGTTTTCAATTTCCACTGTTATAAAAGACATTAGATGAATGTCCTTAGGTATTTATCATTAGGCACTTGATTTTTAAGCCTTAGGTTTTAATTGGGCTCATAGAGAATACTGACAGGCACGTTGCCCAAACGTACTATGGAAATCCAAACCCTTCCCAATGAATTTCTTCTGTCCACCATTAGAGCAGCCAGTTTTTCAAGTTCTCACTTGTTAGGTTTCTCAGTCATAAATTAGATACACTTCACTTTTCTAAACAGTCCCACTGAGATCTGTTTCCTATGGCTTGAGATGATTAAAATAAAAAGCAACTCTCCGTCTCCTCCCGTTTGGAAGTAATATGTAACTATTTTGTTCAACGATTCTCTTTAATATGCGACTCTATTCTCACTTTCTCAGACTTTGTCTTGGCTGAAGATTGGTACTCAGCTAAGGGGGCTTTCACCAGCTTTCTACCACCCACTGTGCATACACTGGTGGCGTCTTCTCACGACTACTGTCCTAAGACTTAATCAAGACTGATGTTAAAAATCTCATTATGGCTGGGTGCAGTGGCTCATGCCTGTAACCCCAGCACTTTGGGAGGCCGAGGAGGGCAGATCACGTGAGGCCAGGAGTTCAAGACCAGCCTGGCCAACATGGTGAAACCCCATCTCTACTAAAAATACAAAAATTAGCCAGGCATGGTGGTGTGCACCTGTAATCCCAGCTACTCCGGAGGCTGAGGTGAATCGCTTGAACCCAGGAGGCAGAGGTTGCAGTGAGCCAAGATCATGCCACTGTGCTCCAGCCTGGGCAACAGAGCAAGACTCTCTCAAAAAATAAAAATAAAATAAAATAAAATAAAATAAAATAAAATAAAAATATCATTATGAATATACCAGATAAGCTTGGATAAGGGCAAGGAATATAAACAATGAACCTAAAGCTTCTTGTATACCAGAATATGCTCAAACAGACAAAACAAAATTCAAACCACATTGAAGGGGTCTTGTCAAAAGAATTCAGAAGCCAACAGAAAGAGCTCCCGATGGCCAAAGCTGGGATAATGTGAAGAACAAAATAAATAACAGCTTTGTATTATGACATGAAGTGTAAATAAATATCATGAGCCCATACTGATATAAATAAATGACTGAATAAATAATATATAATAAATAAATAAATAAATTAAATAAATAAATTGAAAAAATGGACACTTCTTCTGGGAGAGGAATCAAATAATTTATGTAGATGCTGTCCTCTCCAGGGGGTGGAACCTAAATCCCCACCCATTAAGTGTGGGTTGTAGATTGTGACTTCCTTCCAGGAAGTACCATACTGAAGGGGGGAAAGAGTCATTTTACAGAGAGAAAGATGAAAACACCACCTCAGCCACGTGATCAGGTTTAACACTTGCTAAGTCCTGTGGCTAGTAGGGTGTAATAAAATGGCATTTTCTATTATGGCTCTCACCTCAAAATCTGTAACATCAGTCTAAGCATGAGAAAAATATCAGAACAAAAACAAATTGTAAGACGCCCTACAAAATGCTTGACAGATACTCCCCATAAAGGTCCAGATCGTAAAAAAAAAAACACAAAAAAACGAAAAAACCTGAGAAACTGTGAGACTTCAGGAGGCTAAGGAGACCTGACAACTAAACGTAGTGTGGAATCTGGGATCAGATCCTGAAAGAGTTAAAGCACATCAGGGAAAAACTAAGAAGACCTGAATAACTATAATTAATAGTAGTTTATGAATCTGGGCTTATTCGTTGTGACAAATAGACTATAGTAATGTCAGATGCTAATAAACAGGGAAACCTGAGTGCAGAGTATATGGAAACTCTGTACTATCTTTCCAACTTTTCTGTAAATCTAAAATGATTCCAAAATAAAAATTAAAAACCAAATTGTTATTAAAAACAGTATTAATGACACAATTTAAAATATCCTATTAACAATATTGACAATATTAAAAATCTTCTAATATTTGTTAATATAAAATCCATATCTGAATTTCCAAAAAAGTTCCATTGCCACCATTACACCCATACATGCATGTACACATACATGCAGACACACACACATACACACCTCTACACATACAACTCATCATGTTGCAAAATGTGACCAAACCCTTTCTATCTGATTAAGTACCCACCCTAGTTTCTTGGCCTCCCACGTGGGGATTCTGTGTCTTTATGATAAAGCTGTAATTTTATTGTTCAACTTGCAGTCAAAACAACCTTAACTAATGCACACTTAACATTGAATAAACACAAAACTCTCCTTCCCAACCTCATAGCTGACCCTCTTCAGATCCTCCTTGCTATAGTAGCACAGCTCTACAAGTTAAACAAATCAGAAATCTGGGCTTAGTCTTGACTACTCTCTCTTACTCCATCTGACTATCACTGAGGCTTGTAGATTCTAGCATGTAAATGTCTTTTAAAGTTATCTACTGCTTACTCCTCTGCTCAAATCATCTGCATTCATCAACAGCCTTAAATGGTTTTCCTGGCTATAGTACTGAGTTTTGCTAATCCATTATCTACAAGAAGTAAAGTACTAAAACACCATGCTTGCTATGGCATGTTTCTGCCTAGATATTTTGCTTCTCTTTGTTCATAGGATAAGGCCCAAATCTTTGACTTACTAGGTTGAACATGATTTACTCCTTCCCACTTTGTCATTTCATTTCTATTCAACTTACACCTGATTTTCCAGTAATATTGAACCTCTGTCTGTTCTTCAAATGTGTCATGTTCCTTCCTGGCTCAGAGCCTTGGCATGTGCTGTTCCCTGCCCCTGACTTCTCCTTGTAATATCCCTGGCACAGTCCTTGCATTTCTCCTATTATGATGCTCATTACACTCCACTATGTGTGCTTGGTTATCCAGTGTTTTTCTCTGCCAAGCAGGGACTTCCATGAGGGCAGAGACCTCCACCGTCTACACCATTGTATTTTCCATATTATCTCTGTGCCTGAAATAGTAGTCATTGAATAAATGAATGAACAGTCATCTCAAAGTAATGTGCAACATGTATGACCAACAACTGTGAATCTTAAATTATAGAGAATTTTTAAGAAGCATGAAGAAATAAAATACCACAAAAGAAACTGGTGAAAGGGCATGAATCAGAATCCATATGAAAACTACAAATAACTAAATAAATAAAGGAAAAATATTGATGTGAATGATCATCCAGGAAAACAATTTATCACAATAAGTCATCATTTCATTGTTTAAAATATTTGTATTAATCATAATATCTATTATTGGTAAGAAGGCAAGGAAACAGAAACTGCTATAAATTGATGGTGAGGTTCTAAACATGACCACTTCCTTTCTTCATGATAGTTTGGCAATAGTTATAAAAGCTTTACATTTTTTTTCATGTCATTGAAAATGCAGCTCTGTCCAACGACAGGGAATACCCCAAACCAAATTTCTCATAGTAAATATAGATTAAATAAATGAAGTTTCACTCACATTGTGCTTAGCTGCCTAAAGACACATACTATAAAAAATTTATTAAAATAGGAAATAGTCATGATTTATCATTGAGTGCAAAGTAGACGAAAAAACAGTATGTATAAAAATCGCTTTAAAAATGCGTGAACAGGATATCTGTGTATAGAGCTGCTACATGGACATATGGTAAATGGTGTATCCTTGGATGAGGAGAGAATCTGCATTTTCCATTTAATTGTATAACTAGAAACTATATATAATATGCTATATTATATTATATTAAACTATATTATAACATGCTATGTTATAATATAAATAGTTGTAATATAACTAATAATATAAACTATAATATAAAAGAATAACTATATTTATATTTTATTCTAATATAACTAGAAGAAATCTAGTTCTAAAATATAACTAGAATGAGGTTTGTAAAATCTTCCTTCTAATATTAGCTCTCTTTCAATTCATCTTTATCAGTATTTTGCATTTTGGCTGAAAGGACTGCTGGGTGGATTGGAGATAGGGAACATTCACCCAAAGCACTACTTGCTCCAGAACACACTAAATGAGCCCATGTTGAAGTCACGTGATGCCTCTTCTTTTTTAGAAAACGTATGAAGAAGAATTGTTGTATGAAATAAAACTAAATAGAAAAACCTTAGTCCTTCATCTTCTAAGATCCAGGTAAGTTCTATTGTGATTCCAGTACCTTATAGATTTTAGTAATTATGGTAAGCCAATTTTCGTAAAAACTGCCAGTGAAGAGGATTCCTCAATTTTTATTTGCACGTAATCTGAATTTTTCCTCTTCAAATAAAAGCTCTTCATGTGTAAGCCAATCACATCTCAAAAGCTTAAAGACAATCACAGATGCCACTGTTCTCCCGTTCCTAAATAACTCCCTACTTTGAATACTTGCAGTTTTTTGAGCTCCATATAGTCACTCTAAGAACAGGGTTGATACATTACTGTGTTGGGAATCAGTGGAACAAAAGAGATGTGAAAAACATGGTTTTTAAAATGACTTCTAAGTTGTGTAAACTAGATATCAAATCAAGTTCCATTGCAGAGTAAACTAAGAAATGTAGCGCATTTGCTTCGTCAAGACATCTTGTGTAACCAAATAGTGTAATTGCAATGTCTATAACTTTCTTCATTGGCTTTCTTCAAAAGAATGTCTATTGTTGCCGCTGTTTAAGTTTCATTGTTTTTCCACTGGGCCATTTCTACACAAAATAGCTCTGTCTCAGAGCCCCAGATATTAAAAGGATGAGGAGCTGTCAAATGCTAAGCAGAAAGAAAGAGTGACACTACTGGGGAATTGAGACTTTGGTCTATTAGCTAAAAGTAAATAACAAAACACACACACACACACACACACACACACACACACACACACACACACAATCCCAAACCCTCCCTCTATTCTGAATCCGTCACCAGACAAATGTGCCGAATAATAAACATAATCCCATAACCATATTGATAATACATTTAGACTCTGCATATTTTCACCTTCTCAGCATGAAAGAAGCAAAGATTTATTGAGAGATTTCTATCTCTGTTACTTTTTAATTCCTGAAAAATGTATATGAGACAGATATTGTTTAATTTACACTTTGCTGAGGAAGAATTATAGGTACAATGAAAAGATAACTTGTCCAGGGTCACAATACTCATAAGCACATGATGATGCAGATGGTCTGACTGAAGAGTTCCAAGTTACCTTCACAATTACCCCAGGCTGCCTAGGCCTCTGAGTCAATTTCATTGTATTAGCCACTGCGTAATTCTGCTAATCAGCCTGTAGTGGCATGTTAGTGAATTGTACACACAGAGAGCAGTTTAATCTAATTTCAACATCTGTAATAGGCAACACTGCCTCATTCCCTCAGTTCTACAAAGTAAATGAATTTAGTGCATACCACAGAGCCTCTAAATCTGTGAATATTATGTGATTGGATGTTTTTGTAATACAGTAACAAACAGAAACTGATCTTATTAATTTAGATTTCTATTTGTCTTTCTCTCCATGACCACACTTTTCAACATTTCCCCTCTAAGTTTCATTCAGCTTGTTTATTATTATTATTATTATTATTATTATACTTTAAGTTTTAGGGTACATGTGCACAATGTGCAGGTTAGTTTACATGGGCCATGGTGGTGTGCTGCACCCATTAACTCGTCATTTAGCATTAGGTATATCTCCTAATGCTATCCCTCCCCCAACCCCACAACAGTCCCCAGTGTGTGATGTTCCCCTTCCTGTGTCCATGTGTTCTCATTGTTCAATTCCCACCTGTGAGTGAGAATATGCGGTGTTTGCATTTTTGTTCTTGCGATAGTTTACTGAGAATGATGATTTCCAATTTCATCCATGTCCCTACAAAGAACATGAACTCATCCTTTTTTATGGCTGCATAGTATTCCATGGTGTATATGTGCCACATTTTCTTAATCCAGTCTATTATTGTTGGACATGTGGGTTGGTTCCAAGTCTTTGCTATTGTGAATAGAGCCGCAATAAACATACTTGTGCCTGTGTCTTTATAGCAGCATGATTTATAGTCCTTTGGGTATATACCCAGTAATGGGATGGCTCGGTCAAATGGTATTTCTAGTTCCAGATCCCTGAGGAATTGCCACACTGACTTCCACAATGGTTGAACTAGTTTACAGTCCCACCAACAATGTAAAAGTGTTCCTGTTTCTCCACATCCTCTCCAGCACCTGTTGTTTCCTGACTTTTTAATGATTGCCATTCTAACTGGTGTGAGATGATAGCTCATTGTGGTTTTGATTTGCATTTCTCTGATGGCCAGTGACGGTGAGCATTTTTTCATGTGTTTTTTGGCTGCATAAATATCTTCTTTTGAGAAGTGTCTGTTCATGGCCTTAGCCCACTTTTTGATGGGGTTGTTTTTTTCTTGTAAATTTGTTTGAGTTCATTGTAGATTCTGGATATTAGCCCTTTGTCAGATATGCAGGTTGCGAAAATTTTCTCCCATTTTGTAGGTTGCCTGTTCACTCTGATAGTAGTTTCTTTTGCTGTGCAGAAGCTCTTTAGTTTAATTAGATCCCATTTGTCAATTTTGGCTTTTGTTGCCATTGCTTTTGGTGTTTTAGACATGAAGTCCTTGCCCATGCCTATGTCCTGAATGGTAATGCCTAGGTTTTCTTCTAGGGTTTTTATGGCTTTAGGTCTAAAGTTTAAGTCTTTAATCCATCCTGAATTAATTTTTGTATAAGGTGTAAAGAAGAGATCCAGTTTCAGCTTTCTACATATGGCTAGCCAGTTTTCCCAGCACCATTTATTAAATAGGGAATCCTTTCCCCATTGCTTGTTTTTCTCAGGTTTGTCAAAGACCAGATAGTTGTAGATATGTGGCCTTATTTCTGAGGGCTCTGTTTTGTTCCATTGATCTATATCTCTGTTTTGGTATGAGTACCATGCTGTTTTGGTTACTGTAGCCTTGTAGTGTAGTTTGAAGTCAGGTAGCATGATGCCTCCAGCTTTGTTCTTTTGGCTTAGGATTGACTTGGCGATGCGGGCTCTTTTTTGGTTCCATATCAACTTTAAAGTAGTTTTTTCCAATTCTGTGAAGAAAGTCATTGGTAGCTTGATGGGGATGGCATTGAATCTGTAAGTTACCTTGGGCAGTATGGCCATTTTCACGATATTGATTCTTCCTACCCATGAGCATGGAATGTTCTTCCATTTCTTTGTATCCTCTTTTATTTCACTGAGCAATAGTTTGTAGTTCTCCTTGAAGAGGTCCTTCACGTCCCTTGTAAGTTGGATTCCTAGGTATTTTATTCTCTTTGAAGCATTTGTGAATGGGAGTTCACTCATGATTTGGCTCTCTGTTTGTCTGTTATTGGTGTATAAGAATGCTTGTGATTTTTGTACATTGATTTTGTATCCTGAGACTTTGCTGAAGTTGCTTATCAGCTTAAGGAGATTTTGGGCTGAGACAATGGGGTTTTCTAGATATACAATCGTGTAGTCTGCAAACAGGGACAATTTGACTTCCTCTTTCCTAATTGAATACCCTTTATTTCCTTCTCCTGCCTAATTGCCCTGGCCAGAACTTCCAACACTATGTTGAATAGGAGTGGTGAGAGAGGGCATCCCTGTCTTGTGCCAGTTTTCAAAGGGAATGCTTCCAGTTTTTGCCCATTCAGTATGATATTGGCTGTGGGTTTGTCATGGATAGCTCTTATTATTTTGAGATACATCCCATCAATACCTAATGTATTGAGAGTTTTTAGCATGAAGGGTTGTTGAATTTTGTCAGAGGCCTTTTCTGCATCTATTGAGATAATCATGTGGTTTTCATCTTTGGTTCTGTTTATATGCTAGATTACATTTATTGATTTGCGTATATTGAACCAGCCTTGCATCCCAGGGATGAAGCCCACTTGATCATGGTGGATAAGCTTTTTGATGTGCTGCTGGATTCGGTTTGCCAGCATTTTATTGAGGATTTTTGCATCAATGTTCATCAAGGATATTGGTCTAAAATTCTCTTTTTTGGTTGTGTCTCTGCCAGGCTTTGGTATCAGAATGATGCTGGCCTCATAAAATGAGTTAGGGAGGATTCCCTCTTTTTCTATTGATTGGAATAGTTTCAGAAGGAATGGTACCAGTTCCTCCTTGTACCTCTGGTAGAATTCGGCTGTGAATCCATCTGGTCCTCGACTCTTTTTGGTTGGTAAGCTATTGATTATTGCCACAATTTCAGAGCCTGTTATTGGTCTATTCAGAGATTTGACTTCTTCCTGGTTTAGTCTTGGGAGGGTTATGTGTCAAGGAATTTACCCATTTCTTCTAGATTTTCTAGTTTATTTGCGTAGAGGTGTTTGTAGTATTCTCTGATGGTAGTTTGTATTTCTTTGGGATCGGTGGTGATAACCCCTTTATCATTTTTTATTGCGTCTATTTGATTCTTCTCTCGTTTCTTCTTTATTAGTCTTGCTAGTGGTCTAACAATTTTGTTGATCCTTTCAAAAAACCAGCTCCTGGATTCATTAATTTTTTGAAGGGTTTTTTGTGTCTCTATTTCCTTCAGTTCTGCTCTGATTTTAGTTATTTCTTGCCTTCTGCTAGCTTTTGACTGTGTTTGCTCTTGCTTTTCTAGTTCTTTTAATTGTGATGTTAGGGTGTCAATTTTGGATCTTTCCTGCTTTCTCTTGTGGGCATTTAGTGCTATAAATTTCCCTCTACACACTGCTTTGAATGCGTCCCAGAGATTCTGGTATGTTGTGTCTTTGTTCTCGTTGGTTTCAAAGAACATCTTTATTTCTGCCTTCATTTCATTATGTACCCAGTAGTCATTCAGGAGCAGGTTGTTCAGTTTCCATGTAGTTGAGCGGTTTTGAGTGAGTTTCTTAATCCTGAGTTCTAGTTTGATTGCACTGTGGTCTGAGAGACAGTTTGTTGCAATTTCTGTTCTTTTACATTTGCTGAGGAGAGCTT
This sequence comes from Homo sapiens, assembly GCF_000001405.40. Taxonomy (NCBI): domain Eukaryota; kingdom Metazoa; phylum Chordata; class Mammalia; order Primates; family Hominidae; genus Homo; species Homo sapiens. The sequence continues at coordinate 24,452,061 of NC_000008.11, forward strand.
TACTTCCAACTATGTGGTCAATTTTGGAATAGGTGTGGTGTGGTGCTGAAAAAAATGTATATTCTGTTGATTTGGGGTGGAGAGTTCTGTAGATGTCTGTTAGGTCCACTTGGTGCAGAGCTGAGTTCAATTCCTGGGTATCCTTGTTAACTTTCTGTCTCGTTGATCTGTCTAATGTTGACAGTGGGGTGTTAAAGTCTCCCATTATTATTGTGTGGGAGTCTAAGTCTCTTTGCAGGTCACTCAGGACTTGCTTTACGAATCTGGGTGCTCCTGTATTGGGTGCATATATATTTAGGATAGTTAGCTCTTCTTGTTGAATTGATCCCTTTACCATTATGTAATGGCCTTCTTTGTCTCTTTTGATCTTTGTTGGTTTACAGTCTGTTTTATCAGAGACTAGGATTGCAACCCCTGCCTTTTTTTGTTTTCCGTTTGTTTGGTAGATCTTCCTCTATCCTTTTATTTTGAGCCTATGTGTGTCTCTGCACGTGAGATGGGTTTCCTGAATACAGCACACTGATGGGTCTTGACTCTTTATCCAATTTGCCAGTCTGTGTCTTTTAATTGGAGCATTTAGTCCATTTACATTTAAAGTTAATATTGTTATGTGTGAATTTGATCCTGTCATTATGATGTTAGCTGGTTATTTTGCTGGTTAGTTGATGCAGTTTCTTCCTAGCCTCGATGGTCTTTACAATTTGGCATGATTTTGCAGTGGCTGGTACCAGTTGTTCCTTTCCATGTTTCGTGCTTCCTTCAGGAGCTCTTGTAGGGCAGGCCTGGTGGTGACAAAATCTCTCAGCATTTGCTTGTCTGTAAAGGATTTTATTTCTCCTTCACTTATGAAGCTTAGTTTGGCTGGATATGAAATTCTGGGTTGAAAATTCTTTTCTTTAAGAATGTTGAATATTGGCCCCCACTCTCTTCTGGCTTGTAGGGTTTCTGCCGAGAGATCTGCTGTTAGTCTGATGGGCTTCCCTTTGAGGGTAACCCGACCTTTCTCTCTGGCTGCCCTTAACATTTTTTCCTTCATTTCAACTTTGGTGAATCTGACAATTATGTGTGTTGGAGTTGCTCTTCTCGAGGAGTATCTTTGTGGCATTCTCTGTATTTCCTGAATCTGAATGTTGGCCTGCCTTGCTAGATTGGGGAAGTTCTCCTGGATAATATCTTGCAGAGTGTTTTCCAACTTGGTTCCATTCTCCCCATCAGTTTCAGGTACACCAATCAGACGTAGATTTGGTCTTTTCACATAGTCCCATATTTCTTGGAGGCTTTGCTCATTTCTTTTTATTCTTTTTTCTCTAAACTTCCCTTCTCGCTTCATTTCATTCATTTCATCTTCCATCACTGATACCCTTTCTTCCAATTGATCACATCGGCTCCTGAGGCTTCTGCATTCTTCACGTAGTTCTCGAGCCTTGGCTTTCAGCTCCATCAGCTCCTTTAAGCACTTCTCTGTATTGGTTATTCTAGTTGTACACTCATCTAAATTTTTTTCAAAGTTTTTAACTTCTTTGCCTTTGGTTTGAATTTCCTCCTGTAGCTCGGAGTAGTTTGATCGTCTGAAGCCTTCTTCTCTCACCTCGTCAAAGTCATTCTCCATTCAGCTTTATTCCGTTGCTGGTGAGGAACTGCGTTCCTTTGGAGGAGGAGAGGCGCTCTCCTTTATAGAGTTTCCAGTTTTTCTGCTCTGTTTTTTCTCCATCTTTGTGGTTTTATCTACTTTTGGTCTCTGATGATGGTGATGTACAGATGGGTTTTTGGTGTGGATGTCCTTTCTGTTTGTTAGTTTTCCTTCTAACAGACAGGACCCTCAGCTGCAGGTCTGTTGGTGTTTGCTAGAGGTCCACTCCAGACCTGTTTGCCTGGGTATCCGCAGCAGTGGCTGCAGAACAGCGGACTTTTGTGAACCGCGAATGCTGCTGTCTGATCATTCCTCTGGAAGTTTTGTCTCAGAGGAGTACCCGGCTGTGTGAGATGTCAGTCTGCCCCTACTGGGGGGTGCCTCCCAGTTAGGCTGCTCAGGGGTCAGGGGTCAGGGACCCACTCGAGGAGGCAGTCTGCCCATTCTCAGATCTCCAGCTGCATGCTGGGAGAACCACTGCTCTCTTTAAAGCTGTCAGACAGGGACATTTAAGTCTGCAGAGGTTACTGCTGTCTTTTTGTTTGTCTGTGCCCTGCCCCCAGAGGTGGAGCCTACAGAGGCAGGCCGGTCTCCTTGAGCTGTGGTGGGCTCCACCCAGTTCGAGCTTCCTGGCTGCTTTGTTTACCTAAGCAAGCCTGGGCAATGGCGGGCGCCCCTCCCCCAGCCTCGCTGCCGCCTTGCAGTTTGATCTCAGACTGCTGTGCTAGCAATCAGCAAGACTCCATGGGCGTAAGACCCTCCGAGCCAGGTGCGGGATATAATCTCCTGGTGCGCCATTTTTTAAGCCCGTCGGAAAAGTGCAGTATTAGGGTGGGAGTGACCCGATTTTGCAGGTGCCATCTGTCACCCCTTTCTTTGACTAGGAAAGGGAACTCCCTGATCCCTTGCGCTTCCCGGGGTGAGGCAATGCCTCGCCCTGCTTCTGCTCGTGCACGGTGCGCTGCACCCACTGTCCTGCGCCCACTGTCTGGCACTCCCTAGTGAGATGAACCCGGTACCTCAGATGGAAATGCAGAAATCACCCGTCTTCTGCATCGCTCACGCTGGGAGCTGTAGACCGGAGCTGTTCCTATTCGTCCATCTTGGCTGCCCTCCCCCTCAGCTTGGTTTTAATAATAATAAATACTTATTTTATAAACTCATGTTGAGAAATAGCGATGAATCTTTCTAGGACAACAATGTTAAATCAGATTGTACATTCATTCTGTGGAAACGTTGATTGGGTCAATTTTCTGTTCGCTATAATAAATCTATTAATAGATGAAGAGTTTTATTTGTATGTGCGTATGAGTCACCAGAAATATTAATTTAGAATCTACTATACAACCAAGCAGTTTATTATATATTTTATATATGCTATTTCAAAACAACCACAAAATAATTATATTCTATTTACCTGTTGCATCTAGTTAATGTTCCCAAAAAGTTTACTATGATAAAATTTTAACACACAGAGCAGAATTGAAAAAAATCCATATACCCGCTAACATATACATATACCCATAGATCCATTAAGTTACACATATTCACTAATATTTTACTATTTCTGTTTTATATCATCTTTCTCATCTATCCATTCATCCATCAATCCATTCATCCTCCATGTTATTTTTATGCATTTTAAATTATATTACAGACATCAGTTTACTTTCCCCTCAATACATGAACAAGGTTAGCATTAGAGTTTAGTATTTGTTTTTGTTTGTTTTGAGACACAGCCTCACTCTGTCACCCAGGCTAGAGTGCAGTGGCACAGTCATGGCTCACTGTAGCCTTGATCTCAACCTCCTGGGCTCAGGTGATCCTCCCACCTCAGCCTCTCAACTAGCTGGAACTACAGGCACATGCCACCACACCCAGCTAATTGTATTGTTTGCAGAGATGGTGTTTCACCCTGTTATCCAGGCTGGTCTGAAACTCTTAGGTTCAAGCAGTCCTCCTGCCTTGGCCTCCCAAAGTGCTAGGATTACAGGCATGCACCACTGCACCCAGCCTAATATAGGTTTACACTGAATTTTTTCTTTGTATAACATTTTCATAAAATGAAATGCACAAATTTTAAATGTCCATCTACATATTTGTTGAATTTTATGTATGTATGTATGTATGCATGCATGTATTCACTTATTGTAATTTGACAAACTATGATTGTATATATTTATGGGGCCAAAGTGATGTTATGATTCATGAATACAATGTGTAATAATTAAATCAAGCTAATTAACATATCTATCACCTCAACTACTTATTTTTTTTTTTGTGGTGCAAACACTTGAAATTTACTCTCTAAGATTATTTACTCTCACTATTATTAAGTAAATTCACCATGCGGTGCAACAGATCCCAGTAAAACTCAAACTAACTTACTCATCCCATGTAACTTGGGCTTTGTACCCTTTGACCATCATCTCCACATTTTTCCTACAGCTCCAGTCACTGGTGACCACCATTTTATTCTCTGCTTCTATGAGTTCAATTTTTCTAGATTCCACATATAAATGAGATTATGCAGTATTTGTCTTCCTGTGCCTGGCTTTTTTCATTTGGCATAATGTTCTCCAATTCCACACATGTTGTCATAAATGACAGAATTTTCCTCTATTTTAAGGCCGAACATTATTCCATTGTGTATCTTTACCATATTCTCTTTATCTATTCATCTGTCGATGGACGCCTAGGTTGATTCCATAATTTGGCTATTGTGAATAGTGTTGCAATGAATATGGGGGAGGAGACATCTTTCCCACATAGTGATTCCAAATCTTTTACGTAAACACCCACAAGTGGAATTGCTGGGTCCATCCATTGAGCTCTGGCAAATGCACATATCTATAAAACTCCTATAAAAATACAGAACTAACACTCAGAAAAGTTCTTCATGCTTCTCCTGAGTCACCTCCTCTAAAAATCTGTCCTGGGAATTTTTTTTTTTTTTTTTTGCCGTAGATTACATTTGTCCATTCTGGAAATTTTTAACACAAGAATCACACTACATGTACTCTTTTGTGTAAGACTTTTAAAATTTAGCATACTGATATTGAGATTCATTCATGCTGCTGCATTTATCAGAGGTTTGCTTTCTTTATTTTCTTGCAGTATTCTGTTGAATAAATATACTGCAGTTCGTTCATCCACTCTCCTATTGATAGACATGTGGGCTGTTTTCAGTGTTTGGCTATCATTAGTAAAGCTTCTATGAGTGTTCATGTACAGCCTTTTTATAAACATATGTTTTCATTTCTCTTTGGTAAACACCAAGGAGTGATATTCCTGAGTCACAGGATATGTATATGTTTAGATTTATAGAAATCTGACAGATTCTTTTCCAAGGTGTTTGTCAAATTTTAGTAACTACCAGCAATGTATGAGAATACTACCTGCTGTATGTATTCCTCATCATTTTATACTGTCACTTTAAAAAATTTTAGCTATACTAGTTGTAATATTTAACTATTATTAAATGTTATGTTTCCTGTTGAAAACTTTATGTGCTTATTTGATCATTTGTATATCTTTTTAATCTTTAAATATTTACCCATTTTTATTGGATTGTTTGTCCTGTTATTATTGAGTTCGAGGAGATTTTTTTTTCCTCACTCTGTCATCTAGGCTGGAGTAGAGTGGCACGATCTTGGCTCACTGCAACCTCTGCCTCCTGGGCTCAAATGATTCTTGTGCCTCAGCCTCCCCAGTAGCTGGGACTGCAGGCATCCACCACCATGACTGGCAAATTTTTTGTATTTTAGTAGAGATGGGGTTTCACCGTGTTGGGCAGGCTGGTCTTGAACTCCTAAGCTCAGGCAATCCACCCGCCTTGGCCTCCCATAGTGATAGGATTACAGGCATGAGCCACTGTATAATTTGGAGACCAGCCCTTAGTCAAATATAGTTCTTGTTATGTTTGTTCCTGTCTGTGACCTTTTAATTCATTTCTAAAAATTGTGTCTTTTAACAAGTAAAAATTTATAATTTTAAATAAATTTTAATTTATCAGTTTCTTTCTTTATGGTCATCATTTTCTAGGACCTAAGAAAAATTGCCTAACTGCAAATCACAAATATATTGTATGTTTGCTTCTAAGCTCTTCATAGTTTTAGCTTTTAGTTTTGGTCTGTTATGACCTTAAATTTGTGTATGTGCATATGTGTGTGAGTGTGTGTGTGTGTGTGTGTGTGTGTGTAATTTGCTGGAGAAGTCAATATTCTTGTTTTTCCCTATTTATAGGCAATTATTCCAGTCCATTTTGATGAATTGTCTTTCTGGTGCTATTGGATTACTTTGGCACCTTCGGCCAAAATCAAATGACTATTTCTTGGCTCTCTATTCTATCTTATTCATCTATTTACAGTCTGTAAGCCATGGCCAAACTGCCTTGATTACTGCAGCTTTTTAGTATACTTTGAAGGCACAATGTGTAACTCTTCTAATCAGAATTGTTTATTTATTCTAGGTCCTTTGCATTTCTATATAAAACTTAGAGTCACCCTGGCAATTTCTATTAAAAGGCCCGCTGCAATTTTACTGAATTTCATTTTAACTTACTGACTCTATAGATAAGTTTGGAGAGAACTGACATCTCAGCAGTGTTGAGTATTCACGTTATAACTCATCTACTTTAATGTTTATCAACATCTTTTAAAGTTTTCAATGTGGAGCTCTCACCTGTCTTGTTAAATTTATTTCTTTATATTTACTATTTCTGGTGGTTATATAAGCTGAATTGTCTTTATTATTTCATTTTTCTATGATTTGTGTCTACAATATAAAAGCAAAATGGATTATTTTATTTAGGCTTTGGATTTGAGAAGCATTAGTAAATGAATTTATTGATTGTTTTGTAGAGTACTTAGAAATCTTCTAGGAAATTTACCATCTTGTCATCTGAAAATACTGATAGTTTTGTCTTCCTCTCTGATTATTCTTTCTTTTATTTTTATACTTTATTTTATGACAATGGCTAGGACCTTCATTACAATTTTACTGGAATGAGTGAGGGCAGCCTTACACTTTTCCTGATCTTAAAGGGAAAGTGTTCAGTATTAAATGATTAATATGACAGTACCTGTAGATTTGTCATTGATATACTTTATCAAATTAAAGTTCCTTGAAAAGTTTTTTGCAAGTATTCTGTCTGAATCCATTGAAATGTCGATATGGCAGTGTACACTGATTTTTGTTCATTATACCTTATATATTATTTTATAATAAATTATTTTATTTAATTTGCCAATATCTTATTAAGGGTTTTTGAAATTATGTTACTGATGGCTATTCTGTGTTTTTAGTTTTTGCAATAGATTTGTCAAATTTTGATGATAGATTATGTTGTGCTTCTGAGTTGGGAAATATTCTCTCCTGTATTTTCTTAAAAAAGTTATTTTCAAAGTGTTTGACAGAATTTACAAAGGAAACTGCATGTGCCTTGAGCATATTTGTGTGTATGTGTAGGAAAGAGGTTTTATAACCAATTCAAGTTTACTTATAAGGGGTTATTCAAAGTTTCTATTTTATCATGCATCAGTTTTAAATTACAGTTTTCAAAAAAAAATGTCTATTTCACTTAAGTTGCCCCCTTTTTTGGCATAAAGTGTTTCATAATATTATCTTATAATTTTTAAAAATGTAATAATTTATTTAGTGATAACTCTTTTTAAATTTCTATTATTGGTAATTTGGGTTCTTCTTATATGATCAATCTAAAAGGGGCTATCAATTGTCGACCTTTTATTTATTTATTTATTTTTATTTTTTGTTTTTGTTTTTGAGACAGAGTCCTACTGTATTTCCCAGGCTGGAGTGCAGTGGTGCAATCATGGCTATTGCAGCCTCAACCTCCCAGTCTCTAGGCATCCTCCCACCTCATCCTCCTGAGTATCTGAGACTGAAGCCATGTGCCACCATGCCTGGCTAGTTTTTTAAAAACCTTTTTGTAAAGATGGGTTTTCGCCTTGTTGCCCAGGCTGGCCTCGAACTCCAGGCCTCAAGCAATTCTCCTGCCTTGGCCTCCCAAAGTGTCAGGATTACAAGAGTGAGCCATCATACCTGACCTGATTTTTCTTTAGCTTTGTGAATAATTGTAATTGGTTGTCTATTTATTTCACTGATGTCTTTTATCGTTTGTATTATTTTCTTTATTATTCTTATTGAGTGTTTATTTTTCTCTGGTTATAGAAATATTTAATATTTTCTAAGTATTTAAAATATTGAAGTCATAGCATTTCTCTCAAGTCTTCATTTAGATACATCTCAAAAGTCTTGATTTTTTTTATTATCATTCATTTCAAAATATTTGATTTCTTCTGGGATTTCTTCTTTGAGTCATGAATTATTTTAGAGCATGTTATTTAATTACCAATGTTTGGATTTGTTTGATTTTTTTAAAATGTATCTTTGGGCCAATCATTTGTGTATTTTGCAGTTTGTTATCTGATATTAACACAGCTATTCCAGCCTTATGTTTACTATATAAATAAGATACTATTCTTTTATTCATTTCCTTTCAACATATCTGTGTCTTTACATTTAAGATGTATCTTTTGTAAGATGGAAATTAGTTTGGTCCTGATTTTTAATGCCTTCTAATAATCTCTGATTTTTAATAGGAATGTTAACATTAACATTGAATGTTAATGTTATTATTTTTTAATAGGTTAACATTTAATGTTAATGTTACCGTTCCTATTAACATTACATTAAATGTTATGATTGGCATGGTTGGAATTATTTCTTTTATGTTTATCTCCTCTGTTACTATCCTTTTTCCTTTGATCTTTGGCTTACTTTATTTTTCACTTTCCCTGCTGGCTTCTTATTAATCTCTTAACTTTGTAACAATGACTCTCTACATTAGATTTAATTTTCATTTTAGAGATTGCAGCATATATTTACAATTAATCATTAAGTTATAGTTAATGTCATGTCATTTTATGTGAAATGTAAAAACATTGCAATAAGTTCATTTACAGACACTCCTTATTTGTGAAAAGTTGCCATATATATATACATATACACATATATATGTGTGTATATATATGTATGTATGTGTGTGTGTGTGTGTATATATATATATATATATCCCATGATGCATGACTATAATTTGGCTTTAAACATTTATATGTATCTTATGTGAAAATATGTTTTAGTTTATTCATTTATCACTTCTTATCTCTCCCTTTTTGTTACAGGTTCAGTTTTTTTCATGTGTTACAATTTCATTGAGACTAAAGAACTTTTACCAATTTTTGTAGCATAGATCTGTGGCAAAAATTCACTTCAGTTTTATTTTATCTGTAAGTCTTTGTCTTCCTTCTTGAAGGCTATTTTTGCTGCATATAAAATTCTGGGTTCGCCAATTTTCTGTATGCTCCACCTTCTGGGTTCACGCCATTCTCCTGCCTCAGTCTCCTGAGTAGCTGGGACTACAGGCACCCGCCACCACGCCCAGCTAATTTTTGGTATTTTTAGTGGAGACGGGGTTTCACCATGTTAGCCAGGATGGTCTCGATCTCCTGATCTCGTGATCCACCCGCCTCAGCCTCCCAAAGTGTTCGGATTACAGGCTGAGCCACTACGCCCAGCCGGTTTTCTGTATTTTTTTAAGAAAAGATGATGACTGATGATGTTCTCCTCTTCTGGCTCACATAGTCTCTAATGGAATGTTAATGGTTGTACAAATTTCTGTTCCCCAGTATGTGTCGTGTTGTCTTTCTCTTGCTGGTTTTGAGATTTTGTCTTTATTTCTGATACTCTGCAATCCGACAGTGATGTGCAAAGGTGTGACTTTCTTCTCGTAAATGCTGTTTGATGTTTTCTGAACTTCTTGAAATTATAATTCATGTCTTTCTCCAAATTGGGTTCATTTTTTGCTACTACTTTTCCATTTTTTTTTCTGATACCCTTTCTCCACTTTCCAGCACTCCACTTAATCAGTATGTTAGTCTTTTGATGTAATCTACATAGCTCTGAAGCTCTTTTTTTTCTGTCTCTTTTTCAGGTTAGGTAATTTCTATTAATCTCTCATTGAGTTTGTCAACTCTTTTATCAGTTTTGTTCTTATTTTAAGGATATCAAGTAAAACTTATCTAGGTAGTTTTTAGCTATAACATTTTCAATTTGTTTTTAAAAAATATAATTCCATTTATCTGCCACAGTTCTACATTTTTGCATGCATTGCAAATAACTTTCTTTTACTTTGCTAAGCATAGTTATAGTAGCTGCTTTAAAAGTCTTATCTGTAATTTCAACTTCTAGATTAACTTGAGATAAGCCTCTGCTGATCATCTTTTCTCTTGACGATAGTTCAATGTTTCATGTTTCTTCATTGTGTAAATTTGAATTATGAACTGAACAATCTGAATGTTGTGTGAAATGGACTCCAAATTCTGTTACGTTCTGCTGAAGAGTTCTCATATTTTCATTTTATTTGGAGATTAACTTTGTTGGACTTAAACGGCAAATTCTGTCTTTTGGGTGGCATCAAATTTTAGTTCAGTTGTTTTATTCTTAGCATGGCTACTTTTAATCTATCCTTCACATGTCATAGTTCAGGGAAAATTCTGAATTTGAGACTGAGTTTGTTTACAGAACTGAGGATTCTCCCCGCTCTCTCATTTTTTTCCATGATTACTGTGTACATTCCTGTTACTGTGATTACTCCAAACTCTGTTATATGGCTTTTCAAATAAGAACAACTGTGGTTTTCTAGCAGAGTTTTATCCGTCCTCTATAAGGCAGACTTCAGCCTGACCTCAAGCTAAATGCTGTAAAACTGGAAACTTCATCTTATGCTGTGCCTTCTTCACCTCTCATGCTGTGCCTTCTCCCCTGAGCCTCCTTCCCTTTCCCAAAGGATGCTGACATCCCTTCAGAGTCTGCCTGCTTTTGCTCGGTACCTAGATCCTTGAGGTACTTTCTTTTTATGTATTATCCAGAACTAAATATTTATACATGGAATGTCTGTCTAGTAGTAGCTTATTCAGCCATAGGAGGAATGAAATGCTATATTTAGTTCATTTTAAACATTAGTTCACCATTTATTTTTTTGACCACTCCTAATATTCCAAATACTATCTTAAAAACTGGAAGACACAAATAAATAAAAATGAAAAGTCCTTTTCCTATGGTAGTTCACAGGTAACCTTTGAAGACTGACATGAAATACATCATGGGTGAACAAATGATAATTGGTACACCAAATTGGGCATGTTTTCTATTAATGTATACCCCTTAATCTAAGAGTAATGTTCAAAATTTGGAATATTTGGAGTAAAAACAGCAGCAACAGTAACAAAAAATGAAACAAAGAACATGTAATAGCAGCCACATATATGGCCAATATAGCCTCGAATGCTTATTGTCTTCACCTGTACAGAAAAAGTTTGCTACATTTTTATTATGTAGCAAACATGAAAATGAATATCTTTTGAAGTGTGAAATACACCTTATGAAGGGATCTCAAAATCTGCTTGATGGAGTCAGGATGTGTGTTTTGCACTGAGTTTTGAAGAACTTCTAGAAGATTCTTATGTTCAGGTTGGGATCAAGAAGTGGCCATGGGTAGTCCAAAAAGATGTTCAAGAAAAAATTATTCAGTGACAGTTGTTAAAGCACTGTAAGGCAGGCTTTATTCAGGCCCATCACTATAGATATAGAGACCACTGCAATGGTAGGGTCTTGCCATGGGGGAGAGAGATTGGGCTCAATTCCAAATACAGCATGGGTAGTGTGAATTTATTATAATTAATACATATTACTTTTATCTAAATATGTAGCTGTTAGGTTACTATATATTAAGACGTACTCGCCACATATATCTTATGATGTGATGAATATAAGACATATTCATCACATTTATTAATGCATGTTTTTTGCATTAATTTTGATCTCTGATTTTTGCTTAGATAACATTTTCTCCAAGCTATTTTAAAAATACTGCTTTGCTAAAACTGCCAGAATCTATTTTCTAGCTTCTCTACAGTCTTTATGAACCATGATATTTAAGTAGAAAGGCTCTTCATATGAGTGGGCTTGATTTTGCTTTACTATTTCTAGCGGAAGAGGATCTTGCTGAGATTTGGAAGCAAACTGGACACTTCTCCATCACATTATAGGTTTTATCTGTCAGGTTTTTAGAACGAACAAATCTCACCACCTGTCTGCCCTCTTTTTCAGGGAGTTCCTAGGCTCAAATTACAGTGAAACATTCTACTCCATGAAAGGAGAAGCGTTCACCAGGCATCCTCAGATCATGGTATCTTATGGAACTTTACTGTGTCTCTTCTCTAAAAGCAGTATTTCCTGATGTGATTTTGAAACCCTGTTCTAGCTGTACAAGCTGTTTCAGAAAGTACTACATCAGAAATAAGCTCTGAATTGATTACTCTCACTGAAAAATTATAGTATAAAAATACGATTGTGTGGACCCTAACCTCTTACTGCCTAACAAGCAAATCAATGACTGCTAATATAGCTTTGCTTTTCCTAAACTGATTTCTGTACACTCAATATGGTGTTAAGTCTAGGAGAGGGTAAAGCAGGACACCAAAAATATAAGGCACCTTATGAGGCTGTGATCAAGCTAAACGGATAAAATCTGAAGCTATGAAACAACTTTAAAATCTCCATTAATTGATCCTTATGTGATTCTCATCCCCTTGCCCGGTTTTTCTGACGCACCAATGTTGAGGTCTTTTCTTCAATCCTCAAATGAATTTTTGTTCATTTATTATTATTATTCCATTAATTTTAATAAAATCTAGATACAGATTTTATTTTTACATCCCCATTGCTTTTTTCCAGAACATGTCCTCTGTAACCTTCTACCAAGAACATTACTTTTACCAAACCTATACATTTAAAAAAGTATTTCCTCCATTTAAAGCAATGGTGAACTTTGTTTTGTTTTGTTTTGAAACAGAGCCTCACTCTGTTGCCAGGCTGGAGCGCAGTGGTGCAATCTCAGCTCACTGCAACCTCCGCCTCCCAGGTTCAAGCGATTCTCCTGCCTCAGCCATCCAAGTAGCTGTGACTACAGGCGCATGCCACCGTGCCCAGCTAATTTTTGTATTTTTAGTAGAGGCGGGGTTTCACCATGTTGGCCAGGATGGTCTCGATCTCTCCAGGCTGGAGCGCAGCGGCACAATCTCAGCTCACTGCAACCTCCGCCTCCCAGGTTCAAGCGATTCTCCTGCCTCAGCCATCCAAGTAGCTGTGACTACAGGCGCACGCCACCGTGCCCAGCTAATTTTTGTATTTTTAGTAGAGGCGGGGTTTCACCATGTTGGCCAGGATGGTCTCGATCTCTTGACCTTGTGATCCACCCGCCTTGGCCTCCCAAAGTGCTGAGATGACAGGCGTAATCTACCATGCCCAGCAGCAAATGTCAACTTCTATGAGAGCTAAGTCTTCATGCAATCTTCAAAACAGGACAAGAGGAAAACTGGGTAACATTCTTTTATGCAGGGGGTGGGTTATTTGTGAGGGTGTGAGGTCCCTGGAAGACCACAGAAAGTGTCATCCATAGGGAGGATTTTAACACATGGAAATGATGGGAAAAATAATTACCTGATTGGACTACCATGGGCAGAGCATCAAGTAGGGAGTAATAAAGACACCAACTTGATTGAAACAGAGAGGCTGGAGAGAAAGGCTAGTTTCGTAAAAATTTTAGGGTGGATTAAAAAGTAATATTTCTAAGGAAAAGGTCACAATTCTAAAACTACTGTCGTCATTAACAGACTATTAAATTTGTAGAGGAAGAATCTATACTTTGCTTTACACAACATAATCACATAATTAAGGTAAAATGTCTCTGAAGCAGGCTCAAATATTTCCAAATGAAAGAATTTAATGAATGAATGCAGAACAAATATCAATGCAATTTGTCAAAATAAAACATTGATATATTCTGAACAGAAAATATTTAGATATTAGTATCTATATAAAATCAATATTTATACATATAGTAATAGAGTCTTCTTCTATTTTAGGATCATTGTTTTTACCAAGGATCCATAGTACACGAATATGATTCAGCTGCCAGTATCAGTACGTGTAATGGTCTAAGGTAATGCAGAATATCTTTCTTTTTCCTTTATGAGTTTTCCTATGGATTTTCAAAGAAGTTAACTTTGTTGATTTTGTTTTATCACTCCTGGTATATAGAAAAATTAATGAGAAAAAAGCTGCTGTGCATTTTTAGCAGTTTCAGCTGTAGCCTATGATTTACATTTTGACAAAGAGATGCCTAATGCATAGTCCTGAACAAGACAAGCTTTGCAGTATATGAATAAGGGATTCATATTTGGAAGATTACTGAAAATCATTTAGTCTGGGCTCTCATTTTATAGATCAGGATACTGACTGAAATTAGAAGCTTTCTCCTGAATATTCCATTTGCTAGTGGTAAAATTGAGCCTGAAACCCAGGTCTTTTGAAGGCTAGTTTTGTGAATTCCCATTATGCCGTAAGGCTTGACTCTTTTAGCTTTTTACTAAATTGAGCTGTGTTTGCAGCCTCTTGAAAGTAAAAATTCAGAAGTAAAGCCTATAGTTCTCTATAGATCATAGGCTCATGGACAAAGAAAGATGATGTGGAGAGGTAAAGAGGAAAAGAACAAGGAAGTTCTGTCTTTAATTACGGGAAATTTGCTTGACTAGTTCTTAGTGTTTTCAAGAATGAGAACCCCTTTAATGACACAGTTACCACATATTAGTATTTTTACTTTCATATATTTACTTTCATATATATTCCATGTCATGATAGACATAGAAACTCACATAATTTTTGCAATAACTCTTAAGACTTGACAGCGGTCCACAACCACCAGTGGGACTTGCTACACTACCTGTACTCAAAGCAGATATTGGACTGTGAAACTTCTGAAAATCTAGTAAGTTGACTCTTAGAAAAAAGTATTGATTCAGTCAAAGGCCTCATATCATCACATTTCCTTACCACTGAAAGCACTCTCCTACCTGTTCATGAAGCACTGGCTTTGTGGTTTCTCTTTCTTGAAAAGGCAAAGTCAATACAATGAAATAGAGTAATTATAGGCCTTGAATACAAATTGTGTTCCCAATTTCTACAGGGGATTCTTCAGAATAAACGACCAAAGATACCTCATTGAACCAGTGAAATACTCAGATGAGGGAGAACATTTGGTGTTCAAATATAACCTGAGGGTGCCGTATGGTGCCAATTATTCCTGTACAGAGCTTAATTTTACCAGAAAAACTGTTCCAGGGGATAATGAATCTGAAGAAGACTCCAAAATAAAAGTGAGTACTTTATTATTATCTTTACCCCAAATGAAACACCTTTTATTTTCTTGATGATGTCTAGGGATAAAGTATGAGTCCAGTTACTGAAATATATGTGCTACTTTCAGTCTGGCACTTCATCTGATATTTGAAATTGGAAAATTTTTTCTTGTCTATGTAAAAAGTGTTTATTTCATAGAGTTTGTTTAATCAGTTTCAAGAAAGGATGATTCTACAATTCTATGTATAGATTGATAACATTGGGGCTATGAGTAGTTGGAAATCATGAAATTTTCAATGTCCTAAAACCTAATCTAGAGATAGTGTCTTTCCTTTTCTTCCCTGCCATTTTTTTTTGCAGAGTTATTGATGACAAGCTATGTTCTCCCCTTTTTATCATTCAAATGTTTTAATGGTTAAGGATGATTAAGGATAAAACAAGTTCAGTTTTTGGTGGGATGGTTGTATAAAAGTAGTCCTTGGAGCTTTAGGCTTTTCTATACAACTAATCCATATCCCCTTAAATTCCCAGTGGATGTTAGTCTGTAAGCTACTTGGTTGTTTTTCTTCTTCGTATGTCCATGATTTGTATAGTGTCTGACACATACTGTATGCCTAATGGATGTTTCCTGATTGAATAAATCAACAAATAAATGATTACTTAGTCCATAGAAAAAGATTTAGCCAAATCTTTGAACAATTTACCTCTGTTTTGTCCTCAGAGAATATGTACATACCTCAGCGCATGCACACTGAAAGCTGAATACTTAGAAGAATTTCCTGGTATTGGTGTTTTATAGACATAAAAGATTGGCCAGGCATGGTGGCTCATGCCTGTAATCCCAACACTTTGGGAGGCTGAGGCGGGCCGATCATCTGAGGTCAGAATTCGAGACCAGCCTGACCAACATGGTGAAACCCTATCTCTATTAAAAATACAAAATTTGGCCAGGCAGTAGTGGTGTGCGCCTGTAATCCCAGCTACTTGGGAGGCTGAGGCAGAAGAATACCTTGAACCCAGGAGGTGGAAGGTTGCGGTGAGCCAAGATTGCACCACTGCACTCGACTCTGGGCGACAGAGTGAGACCCTGTCTCAAAAGAAAAATAAATAAAAATAAATTTAAAAAAAAGATCTATGATTAGCAAAATTTGTACATGTTTGCTTGGAATTGAGACTACTGAAAATTAGAAAGTTGGGAAGCAGGGGAAGGAGTACAAGAAATGCAGTCAGTCCTGTTGGTCCACACTATGTTTTAACTCTCAGTTACAGATGGATGTTTTTCACGTGAGCTTACTAATGAAACACTTACTCAGTAAATGAAAAAAAAAAAACCTGAATGTTAAAGTATGTGTTTATGATTATTTACAACTCTTATTTGACCTGAAAGCCTAAACAAAGCATTAGGAAAAAGAGCTAATGCATGCTAGGCTTAATACCTAGGTGATGGGGTTGATAGGTGCAGCAAACCACCGTGGCACATGCTCACCCATGTAACAAACCCACATATCCTGCACATGTACCTCGGAAATTAAAAAATAAAATTAAATTTAAAAAAAAGAAAAGAAAAAAAAGAACAAATAGAAAATACTAAAATCCGATGTATAGGACCCCATGTTTAATCGTATAGATCTCATTTAGATAAATTCGTACAATTTTTATATATTCATATGCCTCCCCATTTTGTATCAATATCAACATTTCTTACCTTGAAAATACTAGGATTTTTTTTCCAACTTAAAGGGTTAAGATAGAAAGTGTTAACTATACTTCAACTGAATTTTCCCTAACTTTACAGGGCATCCATGATGAAAAGTATGTTGAATTGTTCATTGTTGCTGATGATACTGTGGTAAGTTTTCAATAGAACATTTCTCTCTTTATTCTTCCTTTTGGAACTTGTAGTTATCATTCTAGCATAGAGAGAAAGGTATTCTAATCAGAGTTCTATTCTAGGCTCAAAGTCCTATTTTTAGCTTCCCAAAACAGACATACATAAGAGATTATGGGGTCCTTTGCCACAATAGCAGACTGACCCAAAATAGAACACCCCTCCCCATTAAGAACATATGGAAATGCTGAATGACATACAAAAAGTTGAAAATATTTTAGCAACCTGTTGTTAAGCTCAAAAGAAAAAGTGGAAAATCTCCAAGTACTAAAAATGAAGAAGAAAATCTCTATCAGAACAGTGAGTAAAATTTAAAGGCTTGGTGACCCCGCTATACAGAATACAAAAAGAGGCAATTGTAATGTAATTGAATGTAAACCCCTGAGAAGCACAATACTGAAATTTGGAAATGAGACCTCTGCATTATTCTCAGAGCCATAAAGGGCTGCCCATCTCAGAAAAGGGAACTAGAAACGCTCCACAGAAACTGCAAGAGATAAGGGAAATTTTCTGTCTGCCTATAGCCATGAGCAGGTAAAATGTTACACATGGGAAAACAAATCTCCTGTCTGTGTTATGCACAGATGTGGGACATGATATTATATATTTCTTCAGATGCAGCACTGCCAAGCAAATTTTTTAATATAAAAACTTATTAGAGAACCGCTAAACTGCTGGAAGTCAAGTCAAAAATGCCCTAAAGTGACTCTTCAATAATCCAAGATAAAATGAACCACATGAGGAAGAGTCAATCAACTTAAAAAAAAGGAAAATAAGCTCACCTGGAACTGTAAATCATCCAATGATATTTCAGACTGTGCTGTGACACTAAATGTTTTAAAGTTATTAAAGATGTAAAAATGAATTAAAATGACACTGAAATGACTAGAAAAGACTGGACAAAACAACAGGCATACTTGAAAAACTACCTGTTTTAACATTTATAAAAGGAAAACGTATATACCCTTGAAAAAATTAAACAGAAGATTAGACACATGTGAAGAAAGAATTAGTGAACTAGAGAATGGAGGATATAGAGAAACCACCATTTCTCCAGAGAAATAAAAAGTTGGAAACTGTAAAAGAGAACATAAGAGACATTAATTCAGAATATAAAGCTTATAAAGAGTGAATGGGAATGATTGGATGACAGATGACAAATGAGAGACAATTCTTGAGAATTTTCCAGAAGGAAAGGAATAAGCAAATCAGATAACATGGTAGAAAAATTTCTGAATATCAAAGACAAAGAAAAAATCTTTTAAAATCAACTGTAAGAAAGAGGCAGATTGACTATAAGTAAATCACAAACAGAGCATACGTTTTAAACAACAGAAGATACAGTTTCTAGAAAGTAAGTTCAAACAGCTAATGAAAAATGTTATAAAATTTAAATTGAGTACTAAAGTATCAGGCAAGGATAATATATTCGGAGAAAGAAATCATACTTAAAATGTTCTATGGAATTTTAGATTAGGAATGTAAAGGTAGTCACAATTTTACACTTCATAAGTAAAGTGTGAGTATTAAAACTTTAATTGTAATCACTATGAACCTAGCAATTAGAATGTAAATATCCCAAAAGGGTAGAGGGAAATAGGTGGATTTGAAAATAAAAAAAAAAAGACCAATCCAACAGAAAGCCTCAAAGAAAATACACACTTGCACACATACACCTACAGTCATGCACCACATAACAATGTTTTGGTCAACAATAGACCACATATATGAAAGTGGTTCCATTAGATGATAACAAAGCAGAAAAATTCCTATAGCCTAGTGACATCGTAGCCATCATAACGTTACAGCACAGTGCTTCACTCATGTGTCTGTGGTGATGCTGGTGTAAACAAACCTACTGCATTGCCAGTTGTATGAAAGTATAGCACATACAATTATGTACGGTACACAATGCTTGATAATAATAAAAAACAACTATGTTACTGGTTTATGTATTCACTATATTATACTTTTTGTTGTTATTTTATAGTGTACTCTTATTGATATATTTAAAAAGTTAACTGTAAAATAGCTTAGGTGAGTCTTTCAGGACATATTCCAGAAGAAGGCATTGTTATCAGAGGAGGCGGCAGCTGTATGTATGTAATTGCCCCTAAAGACCTTCAGTGGGACAAGATATGGAGGTGAAGACAATGATAGTGATGGTCCTGATTTTGTGTAGGTTTAGGCTAATGTGTGTGGTTTTTGTCTTAGCTTTTAACAAAAAAAGTTTGAAAAGTAAAAATAAATTAAAAAACAGAAAAAAGCTTACAGAATAGAGATATAAAGAAAAAATATTTTTGTACAGCTATAGAATGTGTTTGATTTTAAACTGATGTCTAAAAAAATCAAAAGTTTAAAAATTTTTAAAGTTTATAAAGTAAAAATGTTACAGTACGCTAAGGTTAATTTATTATTCAATAAATAAAAATATACTTGTGTAAATATAGTGTAGCCAAGTATAGAGTGTTTACAAAGTCCACCGTAGGGTACAGTAATGTCCTAGGCCTTTATGTTCACTCACCATTCATTCTTTGACTCGTCCAGAGAAACCTCCAGGCCTACAAGCTCCATTCATGGTAAGTTCCCTAAGGAAGTGTACCAGGTTTTTTTTTTTTGTCATTTATACCATTTTTTATTGTACTTTTTCTATGTTTGCATACACAAAAAGCATTATGTTACAATTGCCTACAATATTCAGTATAGTAACATGCTCTACAGGTTTGCAGCCTAGGAACAATAGGCTATACCATATGGTTTAACTGTGTTGTAGGTTATAACATTTAGGTTTGTGTACGTATGCTTTATGATGTTTGCACAAAGAAGAAATCACCTAAGAATTCATTTCTCAGAATATATTCCCATTGTCAAGCAATGTATAACTATATTACATATATACATACACACAGAATAGTAAATACAAAAACAGAAAAAAATATGTGAAGGTAATTCCAAATGTGTCAGAAATTAGAGTAAATATAACAATTACATCTGCCTGTTAGAAGTTAGAAAGTCTCAAATTGAATATAGGAAAAGGACATTATGACATTTATAAGAAATATACCTAAACTTCTCAAGAGACCTAAAAAATCTCAAAACTAGTTTCTTCTCTCCAAAAATATATCTTATGATTTTAATAGTATATAAAAGAGAATTTATGATTTAAAAAGTTATTTGAGATAAATTGGGGAATTAATCAGAAAAAGAGCACCAAAAGGATACAAAATATGAAAATACCTAACAACAAAGTATAAAAAGATAACAAAAAAAAAAAAAAAACAGGTTTGCCAGAAAAGTAGGGTATTTTTTAGCTCCTCTCCATCAGAAAATGTAAGGTCAAGAGGAAAAGCTTCAGCAAAAATGGACAAGATTTGAACCACATAAATGCAAGTTTCATTTAACCAACTGATATACTACCTTGCATTTAAAAAAAAAGAATATGTATTTTTTTCATGTACAAATAACATATTTGAAAAAATTAAGTGGGTATCTGGCCACAAAGAAAATACATAGAAATAGCAAAGAGATATCATAAGATCACTGTTTTCTTTTTTACCACAACCCAATTAGAAGTTATAACAGAAATTGTTAAATTAAACCACTAAAAGACTATTGGTTTGGAAACTGAAAGTACAATATATTTCCAAATATTAATTGTCTAAAAAATCAAATCTGAAATTATGGACTATTTATAACTGACCATAAAAAATAGTAAAGTAAAATTTATTAGATACAGGTAGCATACCAGTATTTAGAAAGACATTTGTCAATTTAAACAGTTTTATTAAGAAAAAAGAAAGAAAATAAATGGACTAAGAGTCCAACTAGAGAGATTAGAAAACAAAACAATATAAATCCAAAGAAGGTATAAAGAAGAAAGTAATTTTAGCAATGAGAAAAATCAATAAAACCACCAAGCAAAACAAAAAATACCACAATGGAGTAGTTCAACAGAGCCAAGTACTAATTCTTTGAAAACATTAATGAAATAGACAAGCTTCTGACAATGCTGATTAAAAAATATAGAAATATATGTAAAATTAGAAGACAAAATATAAATAAAAGTTACACTTTATTAAAAATATATGAAGAACTATGTGCCAATAAATTTATAAACAGATGTAGTAAAATGCTATCAAGCTGACTCAACAATAGGAAACCCCAAAAAGATTTACAGCAGATTTGAAAAATTACATAAGTAGTCCACAACCTATCAGCAAATAAAGACACCAGGAGCCTCAGATTCGTTTAGTGGCAAATTTTACCAAAGTTTTTTATAAACAAACAACCTTTGTTTAACAAAGATAAATAACCTTATCTTTTACAAACTGTTCCACAGAATAGGAAAAGAGGAAAAAACCCCACATTTTATAAGTTTATTATAACCTTTGTATTATTTATCTACCACTGTGTAATCAACTACTCAAAACCTGGTGGGTAATCAATGACTCATGCAGCTGCAGTAATCTATTGTGTCCAATGGCTGGCTAGTCTAAGATGGCCTCAGTCATTTGCCTGGTACGTGATATTGGGTTTCAGCTGGCCATGTATCTCCAATAGGCTAGCTAGTTGTGCTTTCTTGCATCATAGCTGGGCATCAAAGCACCAAAAGAGAGGTGAGGCTGCAATGTGCAAGAACTTTTCAACCTTCTGTTTGTACATGTTTTCATGTCTCAAGCAAAGTAAGTCATATGTCCAAGACTAGAATCAACATTGGAGGAAACTTATAAAAAGATATAGATACCTGTAAGAGTGATTCCTTGAGTCATTACAGTAACAATCTATGACAACTGATAATATTGGTAACAGATCTAGACATGATCTTATGAGAAAGTAAAATTATAAGCTAATGTCCCTTATAAATGCAATTTCAAATGTCCAAAAAATATTTGCAAACCCAAGCCAAGATATATCCATAAAAATTTACATGAGAGTGACGGTTTCCTCCGGTAATGTGAATATTGCTTTGCTTTGACATGAATAGATTTTTAAAAAGTGATAATTTCAAATATCTCAAATTTATATATATAGTATATATTTGTGTATGTATACACATACATATAATTCAACACTCATTCATAATAAAACTCTTAGGATATAAAAAGTGGAAGAAAATAAAGTATATTTACCAAACTCCTATTCAGTATAAACATTAAACTTATTAATAAAATGTTGGCAGTTTTCCTCCAAAATTGGGAATAAGGTACATTTGTTCATTGTCACCAGATTTCTTTCAACATTTTTACTGAAATTCCCAGCCAATGTAATAAAAAAGGTAAGACCCATCTTAATTGAAAAGATGTAACAGTTTTTACACATTAAAGATAGAAGAAACTATAATTAACCTATGAACAAAATTTTAAATCAAAATTAGTAAGTTCTAAGCACTAAACAGATAGGCTTACACTGGCATGTTGCTGAGAAATTTTATAAAGAATGCTGAGACACTTTGCTCTTAATAATAATATATGTGTTATTAAAGACCAAGAATAGGTTATTAAAATTTTTACTCATATACTAGGTGAAGGGTTGCTTGGTGTGATTTTAGTTGCATTAAACTGGGCTTTAGTGTATAGCTCTTGCTCATGCTGCTTTAATAGTATCTTAAAATATTTAAGGTTTTCTTTATTTAGAGAAGTTCCTAAGGTAAATCATCCATTTTCATTAGACAAATAGTTAATGAGCATTCAATATGCTAGGTTCTGAGTATTAATGATATATATGATAGCCAAATAAAAAAAGCAGCAGAGGTCAGGTGCAGTGGCTCACACCTGTAAACCCAGCACTTTGAGAAGCCGAGGTGGGAGGACTGCTTGAGACCAGGAGTTTGAGACCAGCCTGGGCAACACAGCAAGACCTCATCATGACAAAAAGAAAAGAAAAAAAATAGCTGGGTGTGGTGGTGTACACCTGCAATCCCAACTACATGGGAGGCTGAGACAAGAGGATCACTTGAGCCCAGGAGGTCGAGGCTGCAATGAGCCATGTTCACGCCACTGCACTCCAGCCTGGGTGACAGAGCAAGACCTTGTCTCAAGGAACAACAACAACAAAAAGAGCAAGAAAGCAAGAGAAGGATAGAAAATTTGAGCATTGCAGTCAGATAAAATAAGGAAACCAAAGGCAGTCTTTGGAAACCTGTTGAGAAGTTTATATATCTCCACAATAATGAGGAATTCTCAGCAGGAAAGTGAAGTGAGGATATGGATGAAACACTGACAGCTAGCAAGTTGAAAAAGAAGAGCAGAACACAAATGTCTGAATCCTGGGAAACACCCATCATTAAATAAAGATTTGGCAATAAAAGTGCAAAGCTCATACCTAACCATTCCTCCTCCCTCCCCTCTGATTGAAACTCACTGATTGATAAAGCATCTAATCTTTGTGATCCCTAAAATAGCTTCAGAATATTCTCCACAGTGAATTTTAGGCAGTGAATTTTGGGTAATTTTTATCAATCAATCAATGGAAATCCTGTTGTGAAACACATTTGTCATCCAGCATTTAAGGGATAATGGGAATGCACAATAAAATAGTAGGAGTGTCCGGGGTAATAGAAACCAAGAAGAAATTTCTTGAAACAGAAAATAGTCAACATTAAATGTGGAGAAGATGACCAGAAAGGAAAATATGTTCACAATGTATTTGATAATTAAGAGAATATTTGTGGGTTATTAAGAATAGTTTCAATGGAATAGTGGCAGTTATAATCAGAGTGTAGTAGGTTGAATACGTGGAAGATGAAGATTGAAGAGATTCTAATGCTATATCTTAGCAGTATTTTGATCTTTAAGGTAACAGGACAGCAATGGCATGGTAACAAGCAGATACTTGCGGGATTCAGGAAAGGCAGGTTAATTTCTTATTTTTATTATGAAAGAAGTTTGACCATTTGCATTTATCCCTACAGGACACCTTATGTTATTATTAAGTACATTTGATCAGGTCTAAATTGATAATTGATACAAGATCCCGATAGTACAAAAAGGGAATGCAGTTATAAGGAGACAACAAAAGTCAGAGTAGACTGGACATGAAAAGTCTGGTTTGCCCTCGTAGCTATTTCCTGGAGGGAAGGGGTAGCTACAGTTTCCTGTCCCTCTTCAGCACTTCTCCAGCTCCAGTGGGTTTTTAAATTACATATTCCTTATTTTGTGAACACCAAGGACACAGAAGGACTAATAAAGTTGCTGTTCTTCGCCATATAGATTGCTTTGTAGCTTTAATAGGTTTGTTTCATCAATGTGATAAAAATGGACTCTAAAGAACACTAATCAGTTGGTTTAATAAATTAATGCAATGTAGTACAATGTAATGTGAAAAGGAAACAGAGTTAGAAAGAAAAGCTTGAAGTAATACTACACCTAAGAATGTCTTTAGGAGGGCTGTATTTAGTTATTTTATATCAAAAATGTATTTAAGTTGTCTAGTTTTTAGCTGAATGAAAGGAGTTCTCTTTCTTCATTAGGCCAATGATTTTTTTCTTTGTAATAGCTGATGAATGAAGTATTTTGTTGAGCTTTTATGCAACTCCTATTATTAATGAATATTAATATGATATTTATATTTCCAGTATCGCAGAAATGGTCATCCTCACAATAAACTAAGGAACCGAATTTGGGGAATGGTCAATTTTGTCAACATGGTAAGATTTGATACAGTTTTTGAATCAAGCCAATAATACGAATGCAAAGAACCTTTCAGCGCAGTTCTCTGCTGGACTATTGTAGTTACCTGATATTAAGGGAGTACAAAGCACAAAGACTAATAAGCAAAAATCCACGGGAAAAAATAATAACAACAAACCACAGCTCTGAATTTTCAATTTTCGATGTAAGTGACATTTAATATTGAAATAAGTTTCAAAATTTGGTCTCTAATCACAAAATTTATGAACCAATGTACAAAGAATATGAAAATCAATCACTGTAAACCAAATCACACTACTTTAAATCACTGCTCTGTGACGTTGTATAACAAAAAGTCTTAAGTTATAATTTGTTGTCCATGGTTTGGCATAGAAAGTGGAGTAACTGTTTCAGTAAAATATATTAAAATGCTTAATTTGTCTAAATTAGAATGAGGTATATAACCCTTTAAAAAAACAAATTGTGAATGGCAACACATTTTTTTTGCCGACTCATTCTAAGACACCTCAGCCCTATTACTAGGATAAAGAGACCCCATAAGAAAAAGCTGTAAGGAAGGCCCCTCTAGGCCAATGGTTACTAATTCACCAGTTGAGGGACATTTAATCTGTTTGTAGTTTTTGGCTATTGTAAATACAATGGCTTTAAATATTTGTATATAGTTGTATGTGCAATTATAGAATTTCATTTATTTTTTGTAAATAACGAAGAAGTAGGAATACTGGGTCATATGGAAAGTGTATGCTTCCTCACAATAATATATTCTTTGAAAGAAAGTTACTATGCACGGCTCACACTTCAGTGGAAATTATGCTCTTCCTCCTTGACAATGGAGCATCTACATAAATTAGTTGAAATTTTTCTATGCAAGAGATGTATCTCTTTTCTTCCATTAATATGTATTTAATAATTTATTTATATCAGTATGGACTCATGGATATTTATTTTGTACTTTGAGTTACAACCTAACACTACTTTATTTTGTTGCTCAAACTGTTTCAGTTTTGTCCATTGGGCAATATTTTAGCTGGTCTATGTGTCCCTTGGGCATACCCTCATCAGTGTGTGTGTGTGTGTGTGTGTGTGGTATTTACAGTGTTGGATTCTCTGAACTTCTGGGATCTGTGATTTGCTGTTTTATACTATTTTTAAAAATTATTGATCATTCAAATATTTCAAAGAAATTGAAATATTTCTTCTGCCTTGTTATCTCTCTTCTCTTTCTCATATTTCAATTATATGCATATTAGATCCTGTGATTTTCCCACAGCTTTGGACCTTCCCCTATGTGGTTTTCACTCTTAACTCTTTGTGTTTCCATTTGGCTAATTTTTGTTGGGCCAACAAGATTCTTTCCTCACCCATGTCTAGCCTACTGATGTACTCATCAATGGTATTCTTTGTCACTACTACCATATATGTACTCAGCTAATTTCACTCACTCTCTCTTATAGTTTCCACCTCTCTGCTGAAATTCCCTCATCTTTTCAAGCTTGTTTTTCACTATATTCATTTTTTTATTACTGCATAACAAGTTACCACAAACCTAGCATCTTAGAACAATACTCATTAACTATCTCACAATTTTTGTAGGCAGGAAGTCTGGGTACAACATAACTGGATTCTCTGCTCAGGATCTCAGAATGAGGAAATCAGGCCTGGGGATCTCAGCTTGTTGTTGTTGGCAGAATTTATTTCATGCAGTTACAGGATTGAAGTCCTCAAATTCTTGCTGGCAGTCTGCTGGGGCCATCTCAGTTACTGGGGGCCCTGACAATTTCTTGCCACACAGTGCTCTCTCGGACCCTTTCACAACATGGCAGGTTTCTTCTTTGGGCCAGCAGGAGAAATGCTGCTGCTTCAAATTACTAGACTTGTTTTAAAAGATTAAGTTAGGTCTACCCACAGTAAGTTCACTGTTATTCAACTCAGAATCCTCTGATTTGGGTACCTTAATTACATCTGAAAAGCTGTAAGCTCCCTTTATCTTTGTTCTGTTTCATAACCTAAATATACTAGTGAAATTCATCATAGTCACAGTCCTGCCCACGTTGAAAGGGAGGTCATTCCACAGTGTGTTACTGTCCAGGAACAGGAATCCTTGGGGGCCATCTTCAAATTCTGCAAACCACATCCATGTTTTCCATTAGAGCCTTCAACATATTATGGATAACTAATTTAAATTTCCTGTTAGACAATTTCAACATGTGGGTCATCTACGAGTTTAGTTTTGTCAACTCTTTTCTCTCCAACAGTGGGTTGTCTTTTCTTGCTCTTTTGTATGTTCTTTAATGTTTTATTGGATAGTAGACAGTATGTATAGGATAGTAGAGTCTAAGAAAATAATATTTATGCCTGAAATGGTACACTTCCTCTTTTGCTAGGTCATTAACATGCGGAATTGGATTAATCTGGTCAGAAATTAGCTGATTTTGTTGCTACTGCTACCTGAAGTGCACTATCAACTGCATATTCATCTAGTGTTACTTTGTGCTTAGGGTGGGTCCTGAATTGTTGGGGAGTTTTTCTCCATATTTCTGTTCCTTTCTCGACTTTAGGCTTTTATTGAGAGCCAGCACCTCAGCACGTTTATTGAGAGCCAGCACCTCCCTTCACATTCTCACTGCTTCTTCAGTAGTGGCGTGTTGTTTGTTCCTCAGTGCCTTCTAGCCTAGTTATGGGGTCCAGAGCATGTTCTATCATCCTGATTTAACCTCAGTCTTAGGGAAGCCCTGTCCATGGGTCATTGGGTGAGTATTTCTCAGTGTTCATTTTCCTCTCCATTGGTAGGAGATCTTGAATGGTCTGGATTCAGGACAGTTTCCCACCTGTCCTCCAGGAGTAGAAGGCTATTTTTGTTTTGTTTTGTTTTGTTTTGTTTTCCTTTTCTTCAGCTGTAATACATTTTAATTTGGGTTCTGGGGGAAAAATTTACTATAGCTCCCTTGGCAGTTTAAAGCTTTTGTTCCTTGAGGGAAAGAGTTCGGTAGATTTTATAATTTTTTGCAAAACAGCAATTCTCCCCTTCTTCAGGCCCACTCCACTGAGGGAGCCATCTTGAGTCTCCCTCTCTGTCTCCCACTGTGGTTGTTGGCGTCCATGGAGGCCCATGGAGATCAATCTGTGTGTGGGTCTGAGA
Organism: Homo sapiens; assembly: GCF_000001405.40. Taxonomy (NCBI): domain Eukaryota; kingdom Metazoa; phylum Chordata; class Mammalia; order Primates; family Hominidae; genus Homo; species Homo sapiens. The sequence goes on from NC_000008.11 coordinate 24,479,648, forward strand.
TCCCTGTGTCTGGATCTCCATAGGGCTCTGCATTCTCCTTCTCTCCCACACTTGGCCTGAAGCAGTTCATCAATGATATTTGGTCAGTTCTTTCTACCCATTAAAAAGGTGCTCAACATCTTTCTTTCTCATTATCTGCCACAAGGAAGGTGCTCTGGCACCATTTCTCCTTGAAGGAGACTGTCTTTTCTTAGGGTTCAGGCACACTTGTTGGCCCTATGGCCTCAGTTCTGTGGTGGATACAGAAAAAAATATATGATTTTCTAGATTCTCTGGCTTGTCCTTTTTGTCAGGATAGAGGCAACATTCTTTCTAACTTTGTACTTTGTAGGCAGAAGCAGAACTTCTCCCAACTGTTTCAATTTATGTCCGTGGAAATTGAAAATTTCCCCCATGCCTTTTTGTAAGAGGGAGGAAGGAACAGTGTGGAGTGCAATGATTACATCTCATAGTCACTTCTGTTTTCTGCCTTGCCTTGTATCTTGCAATTATGTCTTTTATCACTTCCCTAGCATTGACACCAAGTCAAGACTCAAACTCTCTCCTTGGTTTCTCATCTTCAAGTAAGCATACATACAAAATTGTTGCATATTGCTGAACTTTTACTGAAGATTTGTAGTTTAGATTGGGAGGTTACATAGCACATTATAAAACAAACAATTTAAGCTAACAAAGTCTAAAAGCCCGTGTGCCTGGCCATTGTATCCCTTCTTACTGGCCCTTTATCCTTCACAGAGCCCATACTCACGTTATTTCACTGGGTCCTTTCTTATTTTGACTTTTATTATGTCTTCACCCCTTTTAACTCAGAGATTCCATAGTTGTTTCCCTACTATAAAGAGCAGTTCAACTCTCCACAACATTCCAAATGTGTGTATCCAAAACTATCCAAGAATTTAGCAGATAAAGCATGGCTTTTATTTTATATGTTCTTATGAGAAGAAAATATCATCAGAAGGACAAATAATATTTCCGTTTGCACTTGTGTGTAGTTTTGTAAACGTAAAGCCCATTTGTGAATAGAGAGGGTCTGAAAATCCCACGTTAAAATAATTATTGCTATGTAGTACTTGATTTCTAAAGTTTACCATACATTAAGATTAGGGTCAAGATCCTGGTGTGGTGACTCATGCTTGTAATCCCAACACTTTGGAAGGTCAAGGCAGGAGAATCACTGAGCCCAGGAGTTCAAGACTAGACTGGGCAACAAACTGAGACATCGTCCCAACAACAACAACAACAACAAAAAGAAATAAATAAATAAAATAGCAAGGCACAGTGGTGTGTGCCTGTAGTTCCAACTACTCAGGAAGCTGAGGTGGGAGGATCCTTTGAGCGCAGGAGTTCAACTTTGCAATGAGCTATGATTGCACCACTGCACTCCAGGCTGGGTGACAGAATGAGACCCTGTCTCAAAAACAAACAAACAAACAAACAAACAAACAAACAATTCAGGGCCAAGAGGAATAAGGATGCATATCACAGGCTCCAGGGTAGATTTGAAGTCAGAGTTTGACTACATGTCTAACTTCGGGAGAGTTTAAAAGGCACCTAATTCCCATGATTATGAAATGACTTCTTTGGCCTCTACTGACACATGGAATTGAGTATATTCATATCATGTAGGTTAAGAAAAGTAGAATATTAACAGAAGTTTATTGTTATAGGAATGATATAATTATTACACTTCTTATTGACTAGTTACATTGCCTAGTAACATTGTATGAATGATCTTTCCATTTCTGTTCATTCAGTGTTGATAGTTTATCATTCACTTCCTTTCAACCTACTTGTACTGACTATTGTAGAATATAAAACTGATACAACACATAGTCCTTTCTCTCAAAATTCCCATAATAACTGCATAAACTCTAACTTCTTTTGTCCTGGCATAAAAGTACCTATCACCCAGGTGTTTACAGAGCAGGTAGAAATAGGTGTGAGGTTTATAGGCTACAACTATTTCTGCCTGCTTAGAGCAACCCCTAATGACATTTCTCAGATTAAATAAAAAGGTAGTTACAAAATTCAAACATAAAGATCAAACACAGCAGTTAAGTTTTTGAAAACCAATACCAACTTTCTAACCTGCCACAGAATGAACACTTGGCCTGAAGTATGAAGGTGCATAAGGAGCACTCACACCGCCTGCCACTGTTAGTAAATTTATGCTTTTAGGCCAGTTCTAAATTCAGAACTTTAATACATTCTTCCAGCACATCCTGAGACAGTGCCTGTAAGACTTATGATAGTTCGAGGAGGCAGATCTTTCTGATCAAATTTCACCATTGCCCAGAAAATTCACCAGGTATTCTGGGCAATGCATTCTGTCCCATTTTGATATATCTGTTTGCAACATGAGGCTTGCACTGTTTACTAATGTACCTCACAAGTTCAAATTATTGTTTTTTGGGGAAATGTAAAGGAATATAGTAATATTGAAGACTGTTTCCAGCAACTTGACTTTGTGAAAAATGATTTCTTCTTTGAACAGATTTATAAAACCTTAAACATCCATGTGACGTTGGTTGGCATTGAAATATGGACACATGAAGATAAAATAGAACTATATTCAAATATAGAAACTACCTTATTGCGTTTTTCATTTTGGCAAGAAAAGATCCTTAAAACACGGAAGGATTTTGATCATGTTGTATTACTCAGGTTGGTGATTGCTCTATTTTCTTGCATACCTTTGGTGGATTATTACAAAAGAAAACAAAAAAAAATTAACAGAAAAAAAACATTTTTTAAGCATTTGACTTTTGGGTAGCACACAGGGACAAAATGTTATTTGTAGCTACACAGAAAATTTCCAAGCAAGGAACCGTAGCATATATCTTTAATCCCAACATTTTAGGAGACCAAAGTAGAAGGATTGTTTTAGCCTAGGAGTTCAAGACCAGCCCCAGGCAACATAGCAAGACCCCATCTGTACAAAAAATTTAAAAATTAGCTGAGCATGGGGGCAAGCACCCATGGTCCCAGCTACTTGGGAAGCTGAGGCTGGAGGATCTCTTGAATCCAGGAGGTTAAGGATAACATGAGCTGTGGTTGTGCCACTGCACTCCAGCCTGAGTGACAGAATGAGACCCTGTCTCAATAAATAAATAAATAGAAAGTTTTCAAGTGGACTATTTAATAATCTTTCTTTCTAATATTAATACTAGAAAAGAAAAAATCTGATATATTCATATTCCTTGGTAGACTTAAAAATGCCATTAGGTAAGCAAAGTGCTTTTAGAATCCATGTTACATTTTTTATCAGCATCCAGTGCTAACTCCTCTCGCCCTCCCATGTTGTACCGTTCCAATATTCTTCCAAAATCTGCCTTTCTGGGAAAGCACCTCACTCTCTGAACATTTCCCCTCATCAAAATCTGCCTACCTGGTGGCCAGCCCTTCAATACCATCTTCTCTACTATACAATTGAACAAACAACTAATCTGATAAGTGAAACCTGTCAGAGCTTTAATATTCCTAAGTAAAAGCGTGACTTTGTCTAGACCACTCAATCTTTAATTTCTTTAAAAAGGGGACCATTTTTATCATTTTTGTTATTCAAGATACCTAGCGCAGTACTTAGCCCAGAGGAAAAGGATAAGTAATTATGGAACTGAATGTAATACAACCTAATATTTAGCACAGTCCTGTTATCCTAAAGAATGCTAAATTGTGGAAGAAGTCCTTTGGAGCGATGCCATCTTTTAGAATCTCTTCTGAAGCCCTTAAAGCTACTGTATTAAAATAGTGCTCACTCTTCCTACTTTATATACCCATAATATCGGTATTTCTCCTAAGGTCTGCAAACCCAGCGTGCTAATCTTCTATTATTATTTAGACGTTGACTTTCAGTCCGAACTCAAAAACCTGAAGCTTCCAATACCTGTAGTCAGAAGTCAGATTCAGTCCTTTGGCAGATTAATGAGAGTGCATCAGACCTCCAAAGTAACATAATTCCTGTTTTCTATATCTGGGATGGCCCATAGCATATATCGCCAGAGGCATAGTTGTGCCTGGCTTGTACTTGAATATTCATGCATTAGCATGCCCCAAAATCATGGGGAATGGAGCGTGGTAAAACATCGCCATAAACTTCAGAGTGGGCAAGATTAACTCCTTTGCCCTCTCTTTATACATGTATTTTTTAATACTTAATAAATAAAACCAAAAGTATTTGAATGGGTGTAAGTAGAAAACTTTTAACTACTTTAGAACACCTCCGATTCTAACCAGTAGCTTCTCATATCAATAGGATGTCTGCAAGTGAGGAGATGGGGTGAAATGCTACTAAATAGCCAATTGAGCATCATATTTGGGACTTCTTATGTGTTAAGTTTCTTGGGTACCTGCCCTTCTGTATTCACTTAGATGTAGAAGTGGCAAGACAGTATATATGGCATTATCATGTGTTACTTGATTTCATGCAACCATGAGAGGACACTCAAGATTATTCTTGTCCTGGCGCTTCCCCTCCATACATGTGGTTTTCTCAATACCCCCAGAGTTTAAAAAGACCAGAATTCTGTCTCTCCAAGAAGCATAGTCAAATACTGATGCCTAATATGTAGGAAGAGAAACATTTCAATAATAAAGAGAAAAATGGAGTGTATCTTAATCAAAAAAGGTAAAGACTGAAAGAGGTCATCTAATCTGACCACCTATCTTGTCTTTGAGTTCTATTACATTCCAGGTATGACCCTTTAGCCCCTAATGGCTCTTTTTAAAGTGGTTCAACTCTAAATAATATTCCTGAAATCAAATCAAATTTGGATTCCTATAATATAAATATCTACATTTGTCTTTTCAAGTAATCCAAGGAACAGTTCTCATTTTATCTGACAACTCATTTAAGTGTTTTATTATAGCTATCAAATCCTACCTGAGTTTCTATGGTTGATTAAAAGTCTTAACATTTTTCAATTGTAGCTAATCAATCATGGTGTTAAGTCCATTCATTGTGTTACTTTGTTTTTCCTTCTAAACACTTTTACATTTTACATTTCATTAATTTCTGGTCTTGTAAGTGGTTTTATCCAAAGCTGAGGGCAGAGTAGACTAAAGTAAAATGGGATTTCAATTGTATTTTTTGATTTGTATTTTTTTGTTTTTTGTTTTATACCTTTCTACAATTTCAGTGTAAGATTGCACTGGCTTTTTTTTTTTTTTTTTTTTTTAATTGAGGTGGAGCCTCGCTCTGTGTCCTGGAGAGCAGTAGCATGATCTCAGTTCACTGCAACCTCCGCCTCTCGGGTTCAGGTGATTCTCCTACCTCAGCCTCCCAAGTACCTGGGACTACAGGTGTGCACCACCATGCCCAGCTAATTTTTGTATTTTCAGTAGAGATGGGGTTTCACCACAATGGCCAGGATGGTCTCGATCTCTTGACCTCGTGATCCACCTGCCTCGGCCTCCCAAGTGCACTGGCTTTTTCAATGCCTCTAATATCCCACAGGTTAAAGATGAGCTCAATATCAACTAAGGTCAGCCTCAATTCCAAAACTCCAGAAATAAGAAGGCATTTTCACATGCAAAAGCATTGGCATTGCTGGGGTTCACTGCAATTTGATCTTTGTGTTAATTAAACTACTAACTCAGATTGAAGACTATTTTTGCATCTTTTTCATAGTGGGAAGTGGCTCTACTCACATGTGCAAGGAATTTCTTATCCAGGGGGTATGTGCCTGCCCTATTATTCCACCAGTATCATTAAGGTGGGCTGTGTTTTATTTATATTACTTAATAATGTTTGAATAAAATTGTTGTAATGTCCTGGGTTCCATGGAAAGAGACTATGTATGCATTTTGTCATATATACTCACTAAGATATGTCATGAACAGACTGTTATGCTTCCTTTATTAAATGAATAAAAATGTTTTATTGAAAAATTATAGATAAATATTGAAGGTAAACCCATTTTGTTTAGAGTTTAAACGGATAGTATACCACAGATCAGCATGCAATGATTAGTAAAGCTCTTTTGCATATGAAATATAGCTACTTATAAGGACAAATAATGCACATAAAGGTTGATGGCTCATTTAATAAGTGAGGATAATTGTTCTAGTGCTGATAATAAGGCACATAAACCACTTCCTATATCATATCAAGACAACCTTTCAATTCATTTTTAGAAAGCATAAGACCTAAAAACTGTTGACTCCCTTTTTTTTATGTGATCCTTTCCAAAGTCTCTAAGCTTCTAGTAAATGTTGTCCAAGTAACCCCATCTGAGAGATGCTTGAAAACACGAAGGTTTCTATTTATTTTCTTTATGTCGCGCCTAATTGTTGCTGTGCCTTGTCTGGTATTAAGATAAAAAATTTCAAAGCTAGTACTTATTTAAATGACCACATGACTTACTTATTATATAGTTATTTTGTGTGTATAGCTTTTCCTATGGTATTTCAGTAACATAAGTTTTGGATCATAGAGTCAATTTCATCTGATATATGCTGTTAGATTATTGCTACTCATACTATGATACACGCTACTTAGATTATGCTATTATAATCACTCCAGGACACATTTTAAACTTTATATGAGTAAGATGAGATGACCAAATTAGGTATGTTTTATTAGCTTTATAGTAATCTGATAGCCCACCTCTTTTTGGAAATTAATTCTGTATTAACATAGAAATTAAAGCATATAATGGAACTATGAGCCAAGTTAACCAATTCTTGCATGGATTTGATATATCTGACATTTAAGTTTTTCCCATAATAGAAACTTCGTCTTTAAGATTGTATAGCATTGTTGTGCAATGTGAGACTATAAGCTGAAAACAAGAACCTCATATTTTTATTTGTATAGAATTTGGATATCTAGTACAAAGAGGACAATCAATATTACTTATTATATTGTGTAGGATATTTATCTTAGCTCATTCTAGCTGCTGTAACAAAATATCACAAATGAATGGGTAAGAAACAATAGAAAGTTATTTCTCGGAGGCTAGGAAATCCAAGATTAAGTCCTTAGCAGATTCGGTGTCTGGTGAAGCCCTGTCTGGCTCACAGTTGACACCTTCTTGCTGTGTCCTGACCCGGTAGAAGGGGCATGGATCTCATTCAAACCTCTTTTATAAGGGCATTAATCCCACTTATGAGGGCTCTGCCCCCATGACTTACTCACCTTCCAAAGACTTCACCTCCTAGTGTCATCACCTTGAAGTTAGTTTTATACCTTCGACATATGAATTTTGAAGAGGTAAAAATCATAATAACATTAGTTCATAGTTTTTAACTATTTATAAGAATGAGCTTCTATAAATTGAACAATGACTATCACCATGCCACAAAGAAAGAATTTCAAATGTTAGAGCTAGAGATACTTAAAAAGTCACTTTCTTGGGTTTCTTATACAATTAAGGAAACTGAGGTACAGAGGAGAGAAGTAACTGAGTCCATGCCTTTTTAAATAGATACCAGTTAACTAGGAGCTAGAAGCCAGGTCTTTCAACCACTAGTTTGAAGCACTATGTACTACAGTATGCTAACTTTTGAAAATTTCTAATGCAATTGTTTTATCATCAGGATCTTTTACCTGACACAAACATAATTGCAAACAGAATGGCACATCAACTGGGGCATAACCTTGGGATGCAGCATGACGAGTTCCCATGCACCTGTCCTTCAGGAAAATGCGTGATGGACAGTGATGGAAGGTGAGATTCGAACAATGTACAGAATACACTTACATAATTCAGAAGTGGGCTGGGCATGGTGGCTTATGCCTGTAATCCCAGCACTTTGGGAGGCCGAGGCAGGTGGATCACCTGAGGTCAGGAGTTCGAGACCAGCCTGGCCAACATGGAGAAACCCCATCTCTACTAAAAATACAAAATTAGCCAGGCTGGTGGCACATGCGTGTAATCCCAGCTACTTGGGAGGAGAATTGCTTGAATTCGGGAGGCGGAGGTTGCCGTGAGCCGAGATCATGCCACTGCACTCTAGCCTGGGCAACAAGAGCAAAACTCCATCTCAAAAAAAAAAAGAAAAAAAAAGAAAAGAAAAAAATATGTTTCAAAAGTGGATTTTGAGTCAAAATCCATTATTGTAGGATATGTTGTAAAGCTATGGAATTTCCTAAAAAGTCTATTCCATAACTAGGCGTGGCAGTTTTCTTTCTGGGGCTAAATCTTGCCAACTGGTAGTGTCTCTCTCTAGTGATACCGTGAGAGAAATCCCAAAACTTTCTGGGTACACTGCAAAAGTACACCATGAACAATTAGTACCAATTGCTACCAAGGCAATTAGGGGACAAATAGACTCTACATGCCTTGTTTTGTCATCTTTTCTATAAGCTATAATGTCTTCCTTCACATCTTTACTCAAATGTTATTCCCACCGATGTTTTCCCTGGCCACCTGATCTAGATCATACATACATCCTGGCATTTCAACTCCCACTCCATTTGTTTTTTGTCTTCTCTTTAGTACTTATTACTATCTAGCATATTCTCTGTTTCATGCATTCAGCTTATTTATAACTGTACTCTTCTGCTGGAATATAAGCTAGTCCCACAAGGTCAGAGGGTTTTGTCTTTTGGGGTCACTGTTATAACACCACTGTACTAGAAAAGTCCCAAACACATATTAAACACTCCATAAACAGTTACAGAATAAATGAATATCCAGCCTTCCCCATTGTACTGTGAATTACCAAGCAGTCAGGTCCTAAGTTTTGCACATCTTTGAATCCCTTCGGAGCAGGTATACATAAAGCATTGTATATAGTAAGAAAAGTTTCGTGGTGATCAATGCTTCCACACATTGATTAAATGGAGTAAAGTGACTAACACAACTAAATGTGATGGCTGGCACAGAATAAGAACACAGTAATTAATATTTAGTTTTACATTATTATTTACATAATTAGTAGTATTTTACAGAGTCCTAGTATCTCAGTCTAATGTGATCAAGACTCTAAAGACCTACTGTATTGAACTATTATGTCAATAATAATGTTAAGGAAGTCAGAAGAAAAGGAAGATGGAAGGGAGATAAATTTCAGGTTAAGAAGTATATTACATTCCTATGGATGTGTATATTATTAAATAAACTGTTTGTCTTAATAAATTTATAGAGAACCACTTTGTGCCAGGTACTGTGTTAACTAATGTTTATTTTTTTAAAATCACACATGATACAATTATTGCTTTGAGATGCTTGTAATCTAGTAGGGATGATAAACAAATACATAGGTTATTTCAAGAGGACCAAATTAAAGAGGATGTGGAAGCAGTAAACACAGACAACCAGTCTGTAAGGTGGGCTTCAGGAAGGATTTGCTGGAGGATCTATAACCAAGATATTTTCACTAACATAGCATGTGTTTGCTGTGTTTTGAAAAGATATTTTCTATAATAAAGGACCCAGTTACTTCCCTGCTCTAACAGTAAACATTTACATTTGTTCTTTTCAAATGCTTCATAAAATGCTCACAGCCACTGTACCACTATGCATTGATATGATTAATCTTTATTTTTACCTCATTCTATCTCTAGCATTCCTGCACTGAAATTCAGTAAATGCAGCCAAAACCAATACCACCAGTACTTGAAGGATTATAAGCCAACATGCATGCTCAACATTCCATTTCCTTACAATTTTCATGATTTCCAATTTTGTGGAAACAAGAAGTTGGATGAGGGTGAAGAGTGTGACTGTGGCCCTGCTCAGGTATTTGCAAATGAAGCTATCTTTAAATTGCAAAATTTATGATCAGGTAGAACCTAGGCAGGGATGTGGCCATTAATCAAACCAACCGTGGTGTTCCTTGTAAAACTTTTAAAAATTTTGCTTTCCATTTTTATTTTGATTTTATAAAACAAATTATTGGTGCAGCCTCATTCCAGGGCTTCTTATCAAGTCATGAAACATGTGTAATGACCTTGCTGGAGATCAGCAGCATCAGCTTTCCTTGTTAATATATAATTGGTTCTGCTTGTGACAAGGGCCCATAAGTGTCCTTAAGTCTGATGTCTCATGCAGAGTCAGAATCTGCTCTACAAAATCTCTTACTCAATCAAGTTTTATTTATTAACTTATGAGGCTAGCCTGTATCACAGCTGGACAGTTCCTGTTAATAGAAAACTCTTTCTTAATAGAGCAGAAACCTTCAAATGTTTCATGTATTTATTGTAGTTGTGGTCTCTGGAACATTTAGGAAAAGCCCTTGAGGCAATTTTTAAAGTAATTCTTAATATGCTTTTCCCTATCATAGAAGCTATTTCTTTCAAGAGCTTATCACATAGATATGTCTTCTAGACAACTGCCTCTGAAATTAATAAGTGCAGATGAATCACCAGGGGACATTGTTAAAATGTGAACTCAGATTCAGTAAGTATGGAGTGGTTCTGAGATTCTGTACACCTACCTAGCTTCAAGGTTACACTGATGTTGCTGGCCCGAGGACCACAATTTTAGTATCTACAGTCTAGATAATGCACAATACCAGGAGGTCTAGTAGGACAGCAGTTAGAGACTCCATAATCAGACTGGGGACAGTAACCTGTCCAAAGGTTATAAGAATGTCTTCAAATGTCTCAGGTTAAACGCAAAGAGGCTCTTAATTTTGGAAAATGATCCTCCTGTCCATATGCATTCTTTGGAATGGTTCCATAGATTCATTCTAACACATGAGGTACCTTATCCGGCCACACTCCATTTTCTTTGAGTTTTTATTTTGTTTGAGAAAATAGGGCATAAGTTACCATTTTGATGTTATTTAATGATACATTAAAAAATAAAAGTCAGCCTGAAATAATGGACAGCTTGAGCAAAAGGTAAAATCAGATCTTCAGCAGTTGAATAGTCTCACATCACACTTCAGTACAGGGAAGCAGTATGACCCTTCAAGGAAATGGAGATAATTAGGATAACTGAAGATTATAAATGTTGGACTCTCTAATTCTGTCAATGAGAATCCATTACCCGTAATGTACCAAACAGCACGAGAGAAGGAGAAATAGTTAAAGTCCCAAATACCCGTTCTAAACAGTAATCTTTATGTATGTACCACAGCCAACAATCATGCATCACTATTTAACTCTATCAGAATCCACAGAAGCACAACTAATTAATTCTTCAAACAGGAGTCAGAGTACATACCAATTTCTCATCTCTCTTTTGTGGTTATTGCCAGGAGTGTACTAATCCTTGCTGTGATGCACACACATGTGTACTGAAGCCAGGATTTACTTGTGCAGAAGGAGAATGCTGTGAATCTTGTCAGGTAAGGTCATGTGCCAGGAGAAGGTTTTTTTTTTTCAGTTTAAGAATATGTAGGATCCAAGAGTTATCTAACCACTGGACAGCCCTGCACCACTGACTCCAAAATGAAGCTAGGCTTGCAAGTACCCAACAGAGATTCTTGTGAGATGCTCCAACATCTGAGCATTGGGCTGTGCTATGGCCTGGGGTAGTGGAGAAACATCAAGTAGCAATTGGAGGTTTAGGAGGGAAGTCACATGACCAGCTCTATTCTTGCTCCTTTGTAAATAATCACCAATCTGTTTAACCTCATCTAGGAGGATAGTTGAAATCCCAAGGGAGAGCTAAAAGGGAAAGGGGTTATATTAGCATTGGAAAGTGGCAGTGGCTAGTAAGTGGAGAAACGTTCCCGAGGAAGACAACCAGAAACCCCAATGGCTCTGTCCAAGAGTTTACTGACACTTCTTTCACTCAACTTTATTGTGAATTCACAAAGAAAACAAACATATCTTATGCATCTTCAAATTCATCCAGAACCCAGCGTAATTAAATTCTTATTGAATGGCTGAATGAGAGAATATCTCTATGCAGTTCCCTCTAGCAGTGAAAGCAAGGGTATTTTTCTCCAGTTCATATGCAGGAATCTGATTTATTGGGACTGGAGATTTCCTCATTATAAGCAGGGGTTCCCAATTCGAGGTGGGTAGGGGGTAGGCAGGGTATGTACTGGATCCCTTGGGACAAAGAAAAGACAAGATAAATGAGAACACCTGCCCGTTTCTTCATTTGATGTACATCCCAACTCTCCCTAAGGCTGCTGTAATACCAAACTTCAAAAACATCATTTTGTCATTCTTAAAATTACATGAGTGCCAACACATTGACAAATGACAATGATTCTTGATGGAATGGAGAAGGAAGCTATGATCCATCCTTAAAACCTTTTTTGGATGAATGGGTCAACTTTCTGTCTACTTACGAAACCTTACCTACCTAAATGTATCCAGGATTTAGTCTCTTTGTTTTTCCTCAACAGATAAAAAAAGCAGGGTCCATATGCAGACCGGCGAAAGATGAATGTGATTTTCCTGAGATGTGCACTGGCCACTCGCCTGCCTGTCCTAAGGACCAGTTCAGGGTCAATGGATTTCCTTGCAAGAACTCAGAAGGCTACTGTTTCATGGGGAAATGTCCAACTCGTGAGGATCAGTGCTCTGAACTATTTGATGATGGTGAGAGATAATCACAGTGAAGTATTCACACAGATGGTGGCCTCTATTTCTCTGTTATTGCCCTGTAGGAATTGGGTCAAGATCAGATATAATGTCATTTGTGGCATTATTCCAAGATATTGCTTAGCATTTCTCTGGATATTACCTGTCATATTAGTTGATCTTACGTCTAATATTAACTATCTCAGTATATGAGCTATGTATATTTGTTACTGTTTTATATCTCCAGCCTAAAATATTCTCCTGAGGCAATAGGATAGTTTTTAAATAATTTATTCCATTCTACTTCACTATGACATGATTCTGAAAGTTTAATTACATTAGAAAAATAAGGTCTTTTATGATTCATGATAGTCATGCTTTATTGTTTTACTTTTATACCATTTTTTACCCCAGAGGCAATAGAGAGTCATGATATCTGCTACAAGATGAATACAAAAGGAAATAAATTTGGATACTGCAAAAACAAGGAAAACAGATTTCTTCCCTGTGAGGAGAAGTAAGTGCCCTGTGGAAAAAAAGTAATTTGCCTTCTTACAGCACTTTGTCAAAATCAGAATGGCTCCTGTCCCCAGACCTGTTAATCTCTTTTTACTGAGACCGGGAGAAGAGGGAAATAAGAAGGAAATCTTGGTGTCCTGATTAAAATTATGCTAATTCAAATTACTAATAAAAAAATATTCCCCTGTAAACTTAAGCCAGTATTGACTTGTGAGGTTCACAGGGAAATCCAAAGGAAATATGATCATTTTACATTTTTTACGGACTCATCTCAGTTCCCAGGGCCAAGACTTTGCTCAGTGGTTTTCTCTGCCCATTACAGCCTCCTTAACTTGGCAAGAAACCTGGATCTAGAAAAAGAGTGACCGGGAGGCTCCATTGCCAGCCTAGTCTCAAAAGTTGTATTTCTAGTTCCAAGTTTGAATATTCTGCCTTTCCTTCAGAGATGTCAGATGTGGAAAGATCTACTGCACTGGAGGGGAGCTTTCCTCTCTCCTTGGAGAAGACAAGACTTATCACCTTAAGGATCCCCAGAAGAATGCTACTGTCAAATGCAAAACTATTTTTTTATACCATGATTCTACAGACATTGGCCTGGTGGCGTCAGGAACAAAATGTGGAGAGGGAATGGTAAGACAAAAGCCCTTTGTTTTATTAAAACTTCTTAGTTCAATCCTTTAAAAACATTACTGGATACTGTAATTGCTTCCAAAGAGGTCTAGATATGGAAAAGGAAAAAATATTGACAAGTATTTTTTTAATGAGGAGCAGAGTAGCAATAACACTGTAATAAACATCCATTTTGCCTAATTTTAGTCATGCCAAATGACCCATAATTGTTACAGATGTGCTTAATTAGTAAAACTTACAGCAGATATCTAATTAGACATGGATTATAGACATGGATTTTTCTAATTAATGTGAGTATAAAGTAGCCTTACATCTTCATTTATTTTATTCATTCACTCATATTTACTAGCCATATACTATGGTGCCACTGACTGTACACTAAAGGTAAGCATACATGAGAATTTCATACAGTAAAAATTACATGATTACAGTTCAAAAAATTGCTTTCTTAGTGGTGTGACCAATGTATATTGATGTCTAAAGGAAAAGTGGCTGACTTTGCTCAGAGAAGATGAAATGGCATCTTAAATGAGTAACATTTCAGCTTTGACTTGAACATTTTAACACACAGGAAATGGGAGAAGACATTTTAGCAAAAAATGCCTGCACAATATGTAAAGGTACAAAGTGTATGGCATAATTCAGATGACCAGCAATTTCAGAGTGGCTTGACCTTTGGGTTAAATGGCAAAAGATGAAATTGAAGAGAAGACAGAATGGGTCCAAATTGGAAAGAGTTTTTTATGGCAAGATGACAACATTAGAATGCATACTCTAAACAATAGCTGGCTCATAAAGAATATATGGAAAACACATGATATTTTACCCCTAAAATCAGCTATTTGAAACTGAATAGGTTCTCTATGTGATATGTCTTCCCTTCTCTCTCTACACTATCACCAAAAATATTACAGTGACATTTGTACAGTGTGATAGAGAAATACATTGGAAAACCAAAGTTCAGAATGTAAAAAAAAGAACTAGAACTAAATATTTAATAGCGACTTACATTTTGAGTCTATATATTTAACTATCCTACTTCCTGTTAAAATCATTAAATGAATATCAACATGCTAAGAAAGCTATGTTTGTGAAAATTAAGGTATGTATGCTAACCACAAGCTAAAAAATTCAAAGGTATTCAACAAGACTAAGTGTGAAGCCTGAGGTTGAAGAAAATACCAAAAGATTTGCTATTCACCTCAGATACGAAAAACCAGCCTGAGATACAAAGTGCTTCCTTCTTTAAGAGTGGCAAGGACTGAAGAAAGGGGCTGTTAGAAAGGCAGTTGTGAAGGAATCCATCTCCATCTCCCAAGTACACTGTGACCACGTACTCCGCATAGAGAGCTTATTCCTTCAAGAGAAGGCTTAGGGCAGAAGTACATCCATCACAGTGGTGCCAGTTCTTCAGCCAAATTCTAATGAGGAAATTCATGCATAGTTAATGCCAGTCTATGTAGGTATCACAATGATGTGAGTGAAAAAAAAATCTCTTTTTGGCATTGATATGCTATTTTTAGACTATGAGCTATGTGGGACCTTATTCAAATCTGTTGTTTTAGCAGGGCTTCTCTAAAACCAAAGGACAAGAAAAGGAGTAGGCTAACGAGATGGAAAACATTTTGGTAATAATTGCCCCACTCCAACCAAACAGCAGGGAAAAATTCTATGGTCTGACTCCTCCTGCATCAGCAAGGATCAAGTGGGAAGCCTAGACTTCCATTTTCTTCCAGCTCTAACAGATGCCCTGGCTCCAGACAGGGTTTCAGTGGAGGCTTATGGGGAGTCAGGACATTCACCACAGCTCAGTGGTGATGAATTCTTCCAACCCCAGTGTCATGAAAGTATGTGAGGAGGCTGGGTTTCCACCCCAGCTGGCGTGAGTGAAGCAGTGATTCTCTTCCATAACAGGAATGGTTTTAGAGAAGATCTGCTAAAACAACAGATTTGAATAAGATCCTATAGCTCATAGTCCCCAGAGTATCCAGAATACAAATGAGCCACTCTTCAAACAAAGAACCAGGGAAATCTCAATTGAAATGACAAAAGACAATCTCTAGATGCAACAACAAGGTGACACATATGTTGAATTACCTGACAAGGAATTTAAAGCAGCCTTTACAAAAATGCTTCAGTGAACAATTATGCACACGCTTGAAATAAATGAAAAAAATAGAAGGTCTCAGCAAAATAACAAACTTCCAGAAAAGACGTATAAAATATAAGAGCCAAATGGAAATTTTAGAACGGAAAAATTACAATACTGGAATAAAAATATTCAGTGAATGAGTTCAACAGAAGAATGGAGGGAACAGAAGAAAGAATCAATGAATGTAAAGAAAAAAATAAAAATTATTCAATCTCAGTTGCCATTTCAAGTAAAGGTGAATGTAAGGTGAAACAGGAGCAAAGATGACTCTTGTTATGTTTTAGCAAAGAGACTGGTAGCATTTTGCCCCTGCTCTAGAGATTTGTGGAACTGTGAACTGAAGAGAGATGATTTAGGGTATCTGGTGGAAGAAATTTCTAAGCAGCAAAGCATTCAATAGGTGACTTGGGTGCTGTTAAATGCATTCAGTTTTATAAGGGAAGCAGAGCATAAAAGTTCAAAAAATTTGCAGCCTGACAATGTGATAGAAAAGAAAAACCCATTTTCTGAGGAGAAATTGAAGCTGGCTGCGGATGTCTGCATAAGTAATGAGATGCCAAATGTTAATCCCAAAGACAATGGGGAAAATGTCTCCAGAGCATGTCACAGGTCTTCATAGCAGCCCCTCCTATCACAGGCCCATAGGCCTAGGAGAAAATGGTTTAGTGGGCCAGGCCCAGGGTCCCCGTGCTGTGTGCAGTTTAGGGACTTGGTGCCCTGAGTCCCAGCCACTCCAGCTGGGACTAAAAGGCTCCAAGGTACAGCTTGGGCTGTTGCTTCAGAGGGTGGAAGCCCCAGGCCTTGGCAGCCTTCATGTGGTGCTGAGACTGCAGGTGCACAGAAGTCAAGAATTGAGGTTTGGGAACCTCAGCGTAGATTTCAGAAGATGTATGGAAATGCCTGGATGCCCAGGTAAAAGTTTGCTGCAGGGGCGGGGCCCTCATGGAGAATCTCTGCTAGGGCAGTGTAGATGAGAAATGTAGGGTCGGATCCCCCACACAGAGTCCTTGCTGAGGCATTGCCTAGTGGAGCTGTAAGAAGAGGGCCAATGTCCTCCAGACCCTGGAATGGTAGATCCACCCACAGCTTGCACTGTGCACCTGGAAAAGCTGCAAACACTCAATGTCAGCCCATGGAAGCAGCCAGAAGGGAGGCTATATCCTGCAAAACCACAGAGGCAGAGCTGCTCAAGACTATGGGAACCCACCTCTTGCATCAGTGTGATCTGGATGTGAGACATGGAATCAAAGGAGATCATTTTGGAGCTTTAAGATTTGACTGCCCTGCTGGATTCAGACTTACATGGGGCCTATTAGCCCCTTTGTTCTGGCCAATTTCTCCCATTTGGAATGGCTGTATTTATCCAATGCCTGTACCCCCATTGTGTCCAGAAAGTAAGTAACTTGCTTTTTGATTTTACAGGATTTTAGGTGGAAGGGACTTGCCTTGTACTGAATGAGACTTTGGACTGTGGACTTTTGAGTTAATGCTGAAATGAGTTAAGACTCTGGGGGACTGTTGGGAAGGCATGATTGGTTTTAAAATGTGAGGACATGAGATTTGGGAGGGGCCAGGGACGGAATGATGTGGTTTGGCTGTGTCTCCACCCAAATCTCATCTTGAATTCCCACATTTGTGGGAGGGACCCACTGGGAGGTAAGTGAATCATGAGAGCAGGTCCTTCCCATGCTGTTCTCCTGATACTGAGTAAGTCTCATGAGATCTGATGGTTATTATAAGGGGGGATTTTCCTGCACAAGCTCTCTCTTTGCCTGCTGCCATCCATGTAAGATGTGACTTGCTCCTCCTTGCTTTCTGCCAAGATTGTGAGACTTCCCCAGCCACGTGGAACTGTAAGTTCAATTAAACCTCTTTCTTTTGTAAATTGCCCAGTCTCATGTATGTCTTTATCAGCAGCATGAAAACGAACTAATACAATGTTGAAAGATTTCCTCCTTTATCAAGAAAAATTTTTTGAATGAAATTTTAAAACATATTAAACCTATATAAAAAAGTATAATTTGAGATCAAAGAGCATTGCCTTCAAAGTACAAACCATGATTACTGGTTTATATGTAATGTGGCCAGTAAACCACTGAATTGGATATTACAAAAAAAATCAGTAAGTTAGAAGCTAAACTTCTTAACACAATAACATAAAGGAATGTTAAAACTCAAAGAAAATAAATAAAACCAGGAAATAGAGTTCTAAAAAATTCATTACAGATTTAATATGAAGTCTAAATTAAAAACACAGAAGAGAGGTGAAAATATAGTTAATGAAATAATCACAATATGTCCCTAATCTGAAGAATGTATGAAAAAATTCACTTAGTACCAGGAAAAATTTATAGAAAGAGATGAAGGCTTTTACTTACCCTCATGCCTTGAATGTCAAAAATAAAGAATACATGCCATAAGCACAAAAGAGAAAAGGTCATTAATTTGCTACAGAAAGAAATATCAGGTTACCATAATACTTCTCTGCAACAAGTATCCAGAAGACAATGGAGCAACATCTACAGAGGTTTGGGGAACATAATTGTTGGGACCCTAAAACTATATTTACAGCCAAGTTTTTATTCAGACAGAAAAGCAATGCAATGATACTCTCACACATATTATAACTAATAAAATATATTGTAATATATAGACTGCACCTATTTTTTGAAAAGAAAAATAGTCAAGAACGTATTCCAGCCAAGAGAGAAATAAATTTAAATTTAGAAGGTAAAATAAGGAGATAGGATATTAAAGAAATGATTGCAAGCAACAAACTCCATAAGACTTTTGAGTAAATTCTAGTTATTAATTATAATATTTTTATTACAATGATGTAAAAAATCTCAGGAATAATAAATAATTTTGACAATGTAGTATCTGATTTACTCAATCAAAAACTTGAATTGAGAGAAAGAGGAAAGAAGTAAAAACATGATAAATTTCTTATCTTGCAAAAGGAGGAGTTAATGTTGATTTTTTCTTGAAAATGATAGAATTATTTAGATTCAAATATATTAATGTAAATCAAATTAATCTTTAGAAATTAGCATATATAGCTTTCAAATTAGAGAAAACAATAGCTGAATAAAAGTGATAAATATAGTAAAAGGTAAGCCACAATGTCTAATGTTGGAAATCAGGTAAATAAAATGAAAGGACTAAGAGTATATATATATATATCACTTATTCCAATAAATATAGATGTATTAAGTTCTCCCTACAGAAAATGTAAATATAATCTTTGAACTGGTGGCAATAAATGAATGTTTAATTATAAATAAAATGTAAAATAACATTTAAAAATTAAATAGATGAGTAAGGATGAATCACGCAAAGACCAAAAATAACAAAACCAATAATATTTTAGTGATCAAATTTACCAAGAGAAAGGAAAATTTAAAGCAAAAATATTAAACACAAATAAGATTAATTGATATTAATAAAATGACCATCAATTGTGGTATAATAAACATACATTGCTAAACCAAAAGAAAAACTTCATTGAAACAAAAGAAACTGTTGCAATTACAGTTGTAGAATCTTTGACAGATTAACGCTGAAGTAATTACTCAGAACATAAACATTTTAATAACTAATGAGTTTAAAATATTTCTTTGCATGTATAGTACACACCCCAATCATCTATAGAGGATTTCTCTATCCACAGAAAATACTACATGTGGAATTTTACAGTAGGAAAAATTACATAACTTATAATTAAATCATGTAAATTGAAATTTTTCATATGTAAATTACATGCAAAATTGTGCACTTCACATGCATTACATGAAATTACAATTTCACATCAATTGTAAGTCATTTTAATTCATGCTTGGTTACTTCATTTCTAGGTGTGCAACAATGGTGAATGTCTAAACATGGAAAAGGTCTATATCTCAACCAATTGCCCCTCTCAGTGCAATGAAAATCCTGTAAGATATGACTGCTTTCAAAATTAATGTCTTATCAGCCATATATTTACTTTATTCCCCAGCCTATATGTGCATGTATATGTATGTATATATGTATTTTTGCTGCTTTCTAAATCAAATATATATTTGGGATTCATTTTTTCATGTGTTATCAACAAAATTTATCCAAGGAGCAAAATCACATATTATTATACACAGATACAGCCAGTATTACAAGTAATGCTTTCATTATTGTACTGGTTATCTAGAAATTCAGTGATTCATGTATGTATAAAGTTTAAATCTGATGTTTAAAGTTGAATCTATTGCAACATATCTTATAGTTAAATTACACCAATGTCAAGTTAAGCTTTTGAGAAAATCAGCAAACATTGTATATTTTTTACAAAATAATATATTAACACTAATACCAACAATTACTAACAGTTAGTGCCTAACATCGCTCATAAGCTGGGTTAATCAGTAACACTTATATAGTAATACACACACACACACACACACACACACACACATCACACATCACACACACACACACACATACATATCAGGTTACCATATTTATCATATATATCATATATTTACCTGGAAAGATAAATCATGCTGTCTTGTTCATCTGCCTTTGAATTTGTCAGTATCATTCTCTTATTCACAGGCCGTTTTCAAAGATGGCTGCTTCTTGTATTTTGTTTACTTATTTTTATACATCATTGATTTTGTTACACAGTTTAATAAACGAATAAAAAGTTCGCGCTTGTGCTTGTGTGCATGTATGTTTGATGTAGAGGTAGCACTAAAGTAAGTGAGTTGCAGAACACAACTTATATCAGTCATTTGAGAATATATCATTGACTGCTCTTCCAGGTGGATGGCCACGGACTCCAGTGCCACTGTGAGGAAGGACAGGCACCTGTAGCCTGTGAAGAAACCTTACATGTTACCAGTGAGCATCCTAAAACAAAATCTTTCATATATCAAAAGCCTACCCAGCGAAAAAAGTTTTTCTTATTTTTCAAGTCTGCTACTTATTTGCTGTGTTTTGATATGGATTTGTATGGTCTTCATATTATTGTGCATGAATACCCAAATTGATTTTACTGCAATTACCTTTTACAGCAATTCCCTTTTACAGCCAATGTAGTCTCTTCTAGCTAAATTAAATTTTCTTAGGTATCCCACAAACCCTCAACACACAAGGGCTTTTCTATAGTTATTAACTGACAATCAAAACTCTTCCTGATGATTGTGGTTCCCTTAAATATAACGGAATATTGGGTGGAGTGTCAGTTGCAAATACAAATGATAATTTGTATAATGTTTGGGCTTTTTACTTTACATAAAAATAATTGAGAGGAAAGGAGAATTGAAGTTCTATAGAAAGGAATAAGGAGCATTGTAACAGCTCCATTAAATGTTAATATTCCACTGTTTTACAACTGATACCCTCGATGAAGCCCATGTTTCTTCATGTTGCAGATATCACCATCTTGGTTGTTGTGCTTGTCCTGGTTATTGTCGGTATCGGAGTTCTTATACTATTAGTTCGTTACCGAAAATGTATCAAGTTGAAGCAAGTTCAGAGGTACATTTACATTTTTCTATGTGTTGAAGAAGGGAATTGTTACTGAGAATATGTAAGCTTTGTGGTTATAGAGGATATTCAATGGGGGGAAGTATAAGCTTCTTACTGAAGATCAGGTAAGAATAGTAGTAACTCAAGCTTTTATGTACTTGCTCATATCCAGATGCTAATATCAATGATTCCCAAACTTGTGCACATTGAAATCACCAACAGGTCTTTCAAAAAATACTGATGTGGGTTGAAGACATTGTGATTTAATTGTTATTGGGTATGACTTGAGCATTAGTATTTTAAAAATCTTGTAGATGATTTAATTTTAGCCATAAATGTATCCCATAGTTTGTTTATCCCATAATTTCTGATTCTTCCCACATCAAGAATCAGGTGACATCACTGAAGATTGTACAAGTATTAAGTTGATAATTAGACAATATAAAAAAGCATTATTTCAATATATTTAACATTGTAATGAAATGGAAATTTTTGAAATATAAAAATTACTAAAGCTTACTCATGAAGAAATAAATAACCTGAATAGCCCTATATCTAATAAATTAGTTGTTCAATTTCCTTCTTGACAGCCCACCTACAGAAACCCTGGGAGTGGAGAACAAAGGATACTTTGGTGATGAGCAGCAGATAAGGACTGAGCCAATCCTGCCAGAAATTCATTTCCTAAATGTAAGAAACTTCCATTTGCAACAGTTAATTTATTGATTTTTTTTTTTTAAGTAGCTGAATGTGTTTAAAGTAGAACC
Organism: Homo sapiens; assembly: GCF_000001405.40. Classification (NCBI taxonomy): domain Eukaryota; kingdom Metazoa; phylum Chordata; class Mammalia; order Primates; family Hominidae; genus Homo; species Homo sapiens. The sequence goes on from NC_000008.11 coordinate 24,501,654, forward strand.
CGTCCTAAGCTAAGTGACATGGGAAGTGCAGAGGAGCAATTTAACATGGTTCCACACACATGAAGCTTTGAATCTACATGTAGGGAAAGGAAAGAGGGCAGGATTCAAAACAGATATGGAACAATAACCAAGATACTATATCAGAGCAGAATATATTGGTTTAATAACATACTAATTTGTGCACTATTGGAAAAATTTACAAGCATAAACCACATGATGGGCCATAAAGCAAGTTTTAACAAACTTAAAAGAACTGAGCTGGGCGCAGTGGCTCACGTCTGTAATCCTCACACTTCTGGAGGCCGAGACAGGCAGATCACCTGAATTTGAGATGAGCCTGGCCAACATGGGAAACTCCCTCTCCACTAAAAATATAAAGACTAAAAAACAAGAAAGAAAAGAATTGTAGCCACACAAAATATATTCTCAGAATTAAATTACAATAGAAGTAAGTAATGGAAAGATATCACTAATTAGAAAAATTCTCAGTTGAAAATTAGATAATGAATTCTAAGGAACTCAACTTTCAAAGGAATAATCAAAAGGGAAATTAGAAAGTGTTTTAACCTGAATGAAAATTAAATACCACGTGCCAAAACATGCAGGTGTAGTAAAATCAGTAGAGGAAAATGTATAGCGCTTATCTGCTTCTGTTTGAAAAGAAGAAAAATAAAAGATCAATGACCTCAGCTTTTACTTTAAGAAACTAGAGAAAATAAAGAAAATGAAGCCCAATATATGCAGAAAAAAAGAAAAAGTAAATATCAGATTGATCACTAATGAAATAGAAAACAGAAAAATAACAGAGAAAATGTATTTTGAGAAGATTAATAAATTTTATAAGCCTCCAGCCAGTCTAACTAGTTAGTACATATTATTAACATCAAGAATCAGAAAGGCAACATCAATGAAGATACTATAAATATTAAGTTGATAATTAGAAAATATTATGAAAAACCTTATTTTAATAGTTTTGACAGTGCAATGAAATGGAAATTTTTGAAAGATAAACATTACTAAAGCTTACTCATGAAAAACAGATAACCTGAATAGCTCAAGTTAAATTTGTAGTAAAAACCTTTCCACAAACAAAAAAATATTTGACCCATATGGCTCTACTGGTGAATTCTATTTAAAAATTCATGAATGCATAACACTAATTCTACATAAACTTTCCAGATAATTGGAAAGAGGGGGAAAATTCCCAATTTATTTTATGAGGCCAATATTTCTCTGATGCCTACCTATAAAAGTCATTACAAGAAGAAAAAGCACTACTAACTAATACACTAACAAATATAGGTGCATGAATTATTATTAGATGTTAGCCAACTGAATCTCATGATGAATGATAATGCATCATGATCATATATAGAGGATAATGAATCATGATCAAGTATTACTGCAATAATGCAAAGAAACTTTAACATTCAAAAAAGCAATGAGGCTAACTTACTGTATTATCAGTGAAAGTGTAAAATCATATGATCATATCAATAGAGGCAGATAAATTATTTGAAAAAATTATGTCTATTCCTGAGAAAATTCAGTAAACTAGGAATGTAAGCAATATATGAAGATCTAAGAAAAATGTTGAAAATCCTGCAGAAGTCCCTGCAAATCACAGCTTGTTCAATAATTGTAGCAACAGCGATAATTTCCAATACATTCAGCTCACTTAAAAAACTGTTAGAATGGTGATCATTAAAAAGTCAGGTAACAACAGATGCTAGAGAGAATGGAGAGAAATAGGAACACTTTTACATTGTTGGAGGGAGTGTAAATTAGTTCAACCATTGTGGAAGACAGTGTGGCAATTTCTCAAGGATCTAGAACTAGAAATACCATTTGACCCAGCAATCCCATTACTGGGTATATACCCAAAGGATTGTAAATCATTCTACTATAAAGACACATGCACACGTACGTTTACCGCAGCACTATTCACAATAGCAAAGACTTGGAACCACCCCAAATGTCCATCAATGATAGACTGGATAAAGAAAATGTGGCATATATATACCATGGAATACTATGCAGCCATAAAAAAGGATGAGTTCATGTCCTTTGCAGGGACATGGATGAAGCTGGAAACCATCATTTGCAGCAAACTATCACAAGAACAGAAAACCAAACACCGCATGTTCTCACTCATAAGTGGGAGTTGAGCAATGAGAACACATGGACCCAGTGAGGAAAACATCACACACTGAGGCCTGTCGGGGGATGGGGAACAAGGGGAGGGATAGCATTAGGAGAAATACCTAATGTAGGTGACAAGTTGATGGGTGCAGCAAACCACCATGCCACGTGTATACCTATGTAATAAACCTGCACGTTCTACACATGTATCCCTGAACTTCAAGTACAAAAATAAAATAAAATAAAATAAAATAAAATAAAATAAAATAAATAAAATAAAAAAACTGAGTGGCCAGGCACAGTGGCTCACAGCTACAATTCTAGCACTTTGAGAGGCCAAGGCAAGAGGGTAATTTGAGGCCAGGAGTTCTAGACCAGGCTGAGTAATATGTCAAGCCTTTGTCTATATAAAAAAAGAAAAACAGCCAAACATAATGGTGCACACCTGTAGTCCCTAGCTACACGGGAGACTGAGGCACCAAGAACCTCTGGAGCCCAGGAGATCCAGACTGCAGTGAGCTATGATCATGCCACTGCATTCCAACCTGGGCTACATAGTGATACCCTGTCTCAAAAAACAACAATATCAACAACAATCAAGACAAAACCTGTAAGGAAAGATCAAGAAACTACAAAGGCATTAGCTTTAAAAAAAAAAATAGCTGATGAAGAAAGCATCATTTTTGAAAAGATTATCTCTTTAAAATGATGAAACTGCCCATTAGGATTTAAGTCATGAAGAAGGGATCGAAAGGCCCAAATTTTAAGGCTAATAATTAACTGACTCTTGCTAGATGCAAGTGCCAATAAAAATATTATATTGCCAGTATTTTAAAATCAGGATATTTTTGGTTGGTGGGGTGGTCTGGTTACGTAGTTCCAGAGGTTTCGAATGCTTTGCCACGGCTTTAGGCATGCCATAAGCCTTGTGATTTTTACTGCACAATATTGCAGAGCATACCCCCACTCTATCCCCCAGAACACATATATGACATTTTAGTGGAAATGCCTCTGATGAATTTCACTGGCATATAGAGATAGTGAATCTTTCTCTGGTTATATATGTTAGTTATCATTTTTATCCATTTATACTCTTTATTATGCCAGATGTGATTCCAAGAAGGTAAAACCAAGTCTTAATTGTCCATTAGAATGGACAAAATAACAACGTGTGATTTTTTTTAAGTTTACACTGAGATTTTCAGGAAAGAAACCGCATGATGCTAATGTAATTCTCATTCATTTGTCTTGAGGTTTAAATGAGAAATTGTATGTAAATATACTTAGCACAGTGATTGGTATACACTTAGCACTTAATATGTGTTATTTTAATCTACGATGCCTCATGTGCTGTTGCAGTTACTTTCCTAATTACATTTTCCTTAAATTAATACGTTAAAATAGGTGGACTTCCAGAGAGATGAGTCAGGAAAGGTAGGCTGAGTACTGCTCAATGATGAATAACCATAGAGCGTAGGACATATTTGTTATGATTATAGATCCTAAGCTTCCTTTAAGGGCTTTTGGTTTTTTGGTTAAATGAGGGGCACCTAGAAGAGAAGATGAATAAATATCTGTTGAATATGTGAATAAATTCAATTTACTGTTGATGGTATATACACCATGATATTAACAGAGATAGGAGAGTTGGATCCTCAAACATCACATTTAGGGTTTTTGTATTTTTTGGCATGAAGTATTATAAACAATAATGATTTAACTGATGCTTATTTGACACAGTTATCCATCAAAGACCAGTCCTCAGCAAACCTGGGGTTTGGGGGAGGTCCGTCTTTGGCGTCTTTTACCTATTACGTTAATGATGTTTGTTTTTTGTTTGTTTGTTTTTTCTCTCCCTGCTCTGGCATCCAGGTCCTCTCACAGATCCTGCTTCCATTGGACCATGCTTTCTAGTTGTATTAATATTTACTGGGGAGTTAACAGAATGCACTTTAAAGAGGGAAACTTAATTTAGGAATTTTTGTATTTTAATAGGAAATTGTGGAGTTTCTCAAAGACATTCAAGGCCCAAAGGAATGTGGCTGGTTAGGGAATTTCAGGCATACAGTCAATTAGCGATAGTAAGATTTGGTGGCTAGCAGACCTGCCTCATCATATTCATATCACAATGTATAAATTCCCACTCTTCTCATATGTAAATTTGTCTTATAGACAGGCCCTGAGATAGACTCATATGTTGTAGGATAACAATCTACACAAGAATATTATGTCTGGGTCTTTCAGTATTGGTATATTTACTAGGAATTGCAGGTTAATAGTATCTCTTCTTACTAGCAGAGAACTCCAGAATCCTTGGAAAGCCTGCCCACTAGTTTTTCAAGTCCCCACTACATCACACTGGTACGTTCCCCTCCCCTTCCTCTTGGTGGTGGGCTATGTCCTTTCCAATAATAATTTTCATGAAACTTAATCATTTGTTGGTTCCTTGAAAAGGACCAATAATATAACATCGATAGCTCTCTGATCGGAGGTAGAAATGGGACACTCTGACACTCTGGCATAGAGACCTACTTCTTAACAGGGTGGGGGTTAGGGTGAGGAGAGTGAAGTGAGCCAGGCAAGTCCTAGGGCAGACCCAAGTTTTTGTTTAAAATGTTGGCATTTTGTTCACCATGATACATGCATTTTCTTGCAAATTAATTTTGATATTTTAAACTAACACATTAGCACAAAATTTATCTTAATTACTGAATTAGTTTTCTCCCCTTAAATTCTGCCCCTGAGACCAATGCTTCACTCACCTCACTCTAGTCCTGGCCCCTGTTCTAAAAGGTAAAACACAGCAATGGTTTTCAGTGAGTCCTTGATCAGCCAGAGGGCTCTCCCCTGGAACCCTCAGTTAGATGAAGCTGTGTAATCCCTGCATCTTTATTTATAAGGGAGAAACAAAATATTAGCACATATTAGCACACACATGCATTAGAGACTGAGTCAAAGCACACACACACACACACACACACACACACACACACACAAAATAGAACCACTACAGGATTTCTAGGAATTGCCCAAATGACTAGAATCTCTATCTCTACATCCTCAAGGTTACTCAGTAGAGCACCTCTTACTCAGAACTGGGCGCTGAATACACACAGATTTTCAACTTTGTATTTTTAAAAGCAGCCATTCTCATTAAGCTTTCTTTATGGACGACTAAAACGCTGTGATTAGTTGATTAGTTTCTAATCTGTGGTTGCAGAGAATCCTCAGATCACACAAAAGGATTACAGAAAGTGGCAGACAGCTGGGGGAGTTGTATGAATGAATTCTTCCTTGAACCCGGGCAGTCCATGTTTAAAATCAATTTTACTGAGATTCCAACAGAGATGTTATCGGAATGAAAGTGCTAATACTTTAAAAGTGTTTGAAAATCTCTTACCTAATATATTCTAGGGAAGATTCACAGATTTTACAACCAATAATGGTTTCTGATACAACTTTGCTTAACCAACACCATCTATCCTCCTCTCCCTCAATCCCATAGGAATTTACAAACTGTCTTAAGCAATTTACAAACTGTCTTGGATTTTTCATGGAGCAAGCAGAGGTGGCCTGCGTGTGTATGTGCTCATGTGTATGTGTGCACATGCATGTCTGTGTGTGGATGCCCATGCGTGTAACATCTGATGTGGCACATGATACAACATAATTTATTTATTATAGAAACCTGCAAGTAAAGATTCAAGAGGAATCGCAGATCCCAATCAAAGTGCCAAGTGGTAGGTTACCCTGACAGATAGTACCTCCCTTTTTTATTTTTCAAATGCTGGCATAGTTTTGTGTTCTTTACCAACTCATTGATTTACTGGGGACATCCTCTGTACTTATCACAACAGATTAGGAAGGTTAGAATTTTTTTTTTTTTTTGCTGATATGCTTAAAGTTCTAATATATAATTCTGCTAAGGATGTTTTAATCAAAACTTTCTAACCGGACCAAAGGAGCAATCCAGAATTCAACAGTGCCACAGTCTCAATACAGGTTAGGAATAACGAAAGCAGCACTATTCTTTCAGACTTTTGTTGGTCAGAGTATACATACCCACAGGTTTTCTTCAAGTATGTTAAAAGACTTCGTAATGTTGGGAATCACAGAAAAGGAACAGTTTCCTTCATGATTCCTTTTTTAGATTTTTCACTTATCAAATCAATAAATGGAAGGGTTGATTTCACATTTGACTTAGTATGTCTATATTAGAAAATTTATCCAAAAATTGTGATTTATGTCAAAGGGAAAGAAAATGAGCATGGCTTCAGTACATTTTGAGTTTGTTTTCATTTCTTCCTCCTTTATTTCTGCTGAGTTTTTACAGTGCACTAGGCACTGGATTAGTATGAAGATTCCTTCCACAAAGCGTTCTTATGAGGTGTAATAAGATACACCGCCCACCTCCACCGAAAAGCAGGGCATTTTCTAATGATCTTTCCACTCCACAATGACAAACCTGTCCCACAGAGAGTAGAGAGTGAAGACACTCCTTAGTGCCAGCAAACTGTTTGGCATCCCATAATGGAAAACAAAATTATTTTCTTTCTTTCATAATAGGCCTATTTATTTTATAACTGCTTAATTAGCAATGGCTAGGGAGATCTATAAAAGCATGAATAAATGTAGGACTACAGAACACAGAAAGGTTATTCTAATTAGTAGATATAAATGAGTAATGGAAATACATGGTTCACAGATTTCATAGGAAACAATCTATTTTTAACCATCTGTTTCTATTTAGAGCTTGAAGTTGGATATCCAAAATGGCCGTGCAAGCTTAGGCTGGGGATTCTGGATGCAACGTCTTTACAACCTTACCTAGATATCTGCTACTCACATTTTTGGTAGTGTTTCAAACGTTCTTTATCCAGACAGACAATGTTTAAGAGAAACAACTTATTTCTGTTAATATTTACCGGTAGAATTCACACCCTCTATCATAAACATATGCTGCAGAAAAAAAATGTCTTGTGGTCTTTCAAATGCTCTTTAGCACAATATAAAAATTCGTAACCTTGCTGTAGTATTTTCCTACAAAATGTTACTCTGCTTTCTTTTAAGAATCCAAACTTTAAGGATGATAACTTACAGTCTAAGAAGAAAACATTGCATATAAAAAGTTACTTTTTTGGAAACATAAAAGTACGTTTTAAAACTTGAACATGACATCATTAGCACTAATTCTGGTTTAAATGAAAGTCCTGCAGAAATGCCAAAGAAGGCAGGGCAGAGCGGCACGGATTCTAGGTAATTAAAAGTGAAAGAGGCAGAAGAATAGTGGACAGAACTGCAGGATAGTCCTTAAAATAATGGTGGTGGGAAAGGAAAACACAGAATGCTCCTGGCAATTCTAAATTCCTAGGTTTGCCTTTCTAGAATTCCTTAAGAAGCTGACAGAGAAATCAGAGGGTTACAAGAATTTCAGAAAATTTACTCCAAGTGAGAGGACATACTCACAACTCCTATGAAGGGTTTCTAAGGTCTTTGTCCTGTGCAATTTGACAATGTGCCATTTCTGTGCTGTCTCTGCCCTCTCCCTATCCGTTTGTTATGGGATGGGGGATTACCCTGGGAATGATTTCAGCTGCTTCTTACACAGATGCCTCTCAAGGTGTTCTTTTGTGTCCTCTATTTTCTTCTTGTGAACTGTTAAAGCTACATGCATTATTTTTTTTCCATTTACTGAAATAAAGTTTTCAAGTTCTAAATAAAAATATTCTGACTCGATGAAATAAATAAAGGCTACAAAAGAAGGAAGAAAGGCTGTTGTCCTTGTTGACATTGTTGTTGCTCTGCTGACTTGTTTTTCTCCTGGAGCGGAGCCTGCCTGCAGCACAGCACAGCGGTGACTCAGCACTGGATACCACAGGAGCTTTCCTTCGGCGTCTGCTGTTCTAATCAAAGCCGCCACTTTAAGAAAGGGTGTTGACAAATGTGTACTCAAAGCCAAAGAAACTAATTTAAACGTTTTATGTAAATTTGAGGGAAAAAAAAAAACCCAGAAACTCCACATCTGATATATGCTGGCCTCATTAAAGCAAACAATAAGCCTCTGATGTCCAAAATTAAGGAACAACCACATCTTCATATTCTCCTGAACACTGCATATGTGAATGAACAAAGCACATTTTGATGATATCGTATTTCCTTTATAAAAAGGATCACCTTTCTGATTCATTATTTTTGTATTTCCTCCATATCACTTTCAGACAACATCACCTCTCCCCATTGCTTCTGTCTTGGGCTCCATATTTAACTAGCTGCTACTTTCTGGTGAATTTTTTCCAAGTTCTTCTCTCTCCAATAATAAACATGTCTTGTACCCCCTCCGTTCTCCCACCTCGTTGCTTCCTGTTCAGATCTCTTTAGCTTTCTAATTTGCTTCCTTTTCCTTCCAACAACCCCAGAAGCCTCTGACAGTTAGGCCCCTTTTCAATTTTAGGTCACGTTCTCCAAGTTTGTCCATATGTAGACCCCAGGCCTTAGGACTTTCTATTCCTTTTAAGTGCTGTTAGGAAGCCTCTCCTTCCAATGTCTACAGAGCAGAATCAAACGTCACAGCTCCTCGTTACTTGTTGACCCCTTGTCAGCCCAGTTCTGCCATGACTGTGGAGCCAGTTACTGGCCGTGATTTCCCAGGAATGGACATCGGGAGTCCCTGCCCCATACATGGACATAGCTGGCACTTGCCCAAACTCAACTTGAGTTTGTTGTGTTTTGAGATGCTGTGTTTTAGGGTATGGGGTTGTCCTTGCAGTTGGGTCATGCCCCTCTGCTCTGAACAGACACAGATTTATATGGAAGCAAATGATCTTGCCCTTTAGAGCCCATAATATGTACTGCCCTTTTCAACACCATTTATCTAATTTTGTATTTACATTTTTAAATGGCCTTCCATAGGCTGGATTTGGGTTGGGGAGGAGAAATCCAAAATATTTATAAGCAAAAATGCTAAAACCTATGGAAAACAAATAGGACAAAGATGTTTCTTGGCTATCCTGGGACTGGAGGCACAGCTAAGGTGAGGCAGCTGAGGTGAGGAGTGGACTAGCCAGGGATGGAATTAGGGTCACAGTTGGGCGGTGTTCTGAGAATGAGAGAAGCATGGAAGGGTTGCCAAGCTCTCCACTCACCCCTGCGACATGCACAGAAGTGGGTACCCGAGAGAGCACCACGGAGAGTAAAATCCAAGAGAGGACTGAAAGCTGATGGGCTTTGATTACACTCCCAACCCACACAGAGATCAGTGGCCTGAGGGCTGAAGTTTTACAGGCCCCCGGGGTTTAAGCAAAACCTCTGTCCAAATTACTGACCCCTATAACCTGCCAACCCCAGGGCAACCCATAGAAAAACAAGATAACATATAAAAGTGAGAATTAAAACCTGAGCAGAGATGTCCGTGGCTATACGCTTCAAGCAGAGATGTCCGTGGCTGTACACTTCAGGAAGGGAGTTAAGGGAGAGGATGGGGGAAATCGATTGTGCAGTTTAAGTCCAGCCCAGCCACTTTTTAAAACACTCCAAACAATAAATTGGAATCCACACTTGCTATAAGATATTATCAAAATGCTGTTGTGCCAAGGAATCTCAATGCACATATTTACATCAGTTCTGCCAGGAACACACCAATGACAACACAAAACAAAACCTTCACTGACGGATGACCTATCATCAGCATTCCCAATATACCAGCAATTATTCTCAAATATCAGCCATCTCCCCACAGCTATTCTGCCTTTTTCTCAAAGTATCTGTCCTGCCGGATGATTCTAGAATTCAGAAACTCACATCGTATATGCTAAAATTAAGAAGTCATATTCCAAGAAAGATAATAACTTCTTTATTAGTGGGCAATTGTCTGTGTACCTGACAATGCATCAGCGACATCCATGGAAGAGCCACTAGGTGGCCACATAGCTAACAAAATTCTTGTTAGCTAGAAAACTGCTCCAGGCTGCTGCTGTCCCTTTTCCAGGTAGCACTAGGCTGTCAAAATCATGACTTTAAGTAAATTTCTTAAGGAATTTGATCAATTCCATTCTTGATGATTCCAGATGGAAATCTTGGTGAATTGTTTCAAACACTGCTTTCGTCTCTGGCAGAGTTGTGGATGGAAATAGGCAAACAGGAACCATATCCCTAAAACGAAAGGGGAACTGGGTTCTCAGCTAGAAAGCTTTGAATGGAGATTTTAGACTGGAAGGATAAATCTTCTTTACTCTCAGTTATGAAGCCCAATCTTCTTGACATTGGCATTTGGATAAACCCCAAAAAACCCAGGGTCCTTAAAACTACTGCGAGTGGGTGTCTAGTTTTTGTTGTTGTTTAATTATATATTATCTGTTCCTTTTTTTTTTGAAGGCCATCAAATTAGCTTGGCCGACTGCTGCCATGGAAACCTGAAGTGCTCCCACCTCCCAGGGGATGTATAATGGATGGTGAATGTCAGAAGCCTGCATCCTGTGTTACTTATCTGACATTGTGGTGGACTGTTGATGACAACTGATGTCCTCTACTAATCATCACCATTGTGTGAGAAATATTGATTAGATTCCTAGGCTTTTTGAGAAGCTTCCTGATCACTTTCTAATTGAAGTTCAGGCTTTTAGGAAACTCAAGAGCTGATGTATAGGGAAGTGAGGGTCTAGTGGGCTGGACAGAATCCATTAACATCTGTCTCCAGGAAAAGTTGTAATTGTGAGACATATGTAATGGGTATTGATTGCTAAGGAAAGAACATACATATAACTTTAAACCTTAGAAGTCTCCAAGGACAAAAAAAAATATGGAAAAGGGGGGGTCTTTGGGATTGCAGGAATGCTGGCTGGGAAGAAATTGTATCAGAGCTGTCTTAGAGGATCTTAGATAAGTAAATTCAAAAGCCAAAGTCTCTTGCCCAAGGATACGAGAGATATGCTACTACAGCAGCTAGAACAAACAGCATTTCGTGAGTGGACACTATTTGTCAGAGATTATTCTAAGCACTTCATACGTATTATTTCATTTAACTTAAAACAATGAGTTAAATACTATTACTATTTTCATTTTACAGCTTGGAAAACTGATATGAAAAAAGTCAAATAATTTGCCAAAAGAGACAACTGATTAACTAGTATAGTCACAATTCTAAGCCAGGAAGTCTAACTCCAAAGAGTATGCTTTTAATCATTATTATGCTACTGATATTAATACAACTTTGACAGGAAGAATGCACAGCCCTCACCCCCAAAATTCAGAACTGTGTAAATATCTCACTCCCATTCTCGTCTTCCATCTACCATCCACCATACTTCCCAACCACAGTATAATGGTGCGTGAGTTAACATATCAGGTAGGAAGCGCAAAGCTAGGCAGCTGTCACCTCCCAATTCAGCCAGAGCATGGCTGAGATGTTTTTGTCCAAGGAAGAACTGTATTTGGGGATGGACTAAAACTTAAACACTCTTTGAAGCCCTCATTGGCCACTTCCTAGCAGACACTTTGGGATCCTTGAATCTTTCCCTTGTGTTATAGTGACCTCAATTTCTGGATGATCCCTTCTTAATAGAATAGACCTCTACTTGGGTGGTGCTTTAATTCAGCTTAGTGTGTTTGGGCAAGCTGTCTGTTGCTGTCTCTGCCATCACTGTGCATAAAAGGGAAGACGGTGGGTCAGGGGATGGCAGCGGCCAATCAAGAGATAACAGCCCTCTGCTAAAGCTTCCTTCCTTGCTTTAATCAAATGAAGAATGCACCAGATGAGGGTCACTTGGAACACATAGGGAAAGGTAGAATGCCTACAAAGAATCTTCCAGACCCCATACTACTGCATTTCCATGAAATGCACAAGGTCCATGGGAAGGATTATTTTACAAATGAGGAGGCTAGGGATTAAGAGGTCCTCAAACACACAGCCAAGAAATGGCAAAACAGGAATCACAGGCCTCAGACCAAAGCCACCATCCGAACAGTAACTCATTCCAGTTTTAAAAGTGACAGCATCACAACTGGCCACTGGATGACCTCAGAGTTCAATCCTGCTAAAAGTAGCTTTGGATTGAGACCATCCTGGCCAACAAAGTGAAATCCCGTCTCTACTAAAATACAAAAAATTAGCCAGGCATGGTGGCATGCACCTGTAGTCCCAGCTGCTCGGGAGGCTGAGGCAGGGGAATCCCTTGAATCCAGGAGGCAGAGGTTGCAGTGAGCTGAGACTGCACCACTGCACTCCAGCCTGGCGACAGGGCCAGACTTTGTCTCAAAAAAAAAAAAAAAGTAGCTTTGATGTTGAAAGGGGCTGGGTAGTAGAGATCAGTTAGTGGGCCCTCCCCAATCCTAGCCAAAAGGAGCACAGTATCCATTTCATTTTCACATCTTCAGGTTCTTCAAAGTCATGCCTAAAGTGGGGAAAGAATTAAAAGATCTACTGTCATTCTAACAGGATTCAAAGAGAGGAACCACTGGATGGAAAAATGTGAATTATTTTAGACAAAGCCTTTAGCATTTAAAATACTCCTCATCCCATAATTAATCTATTCCTTTCTCTCACGTTATCAGCATCAGTGCCTTGATATCAAAGTGTATGTCAATAAGTCACAGAAGGGAAGATAATAGTTGGAGTGACCTTCTGAGCTTCTAGGTTGTTCTACCCTCTCCCTTAAAGTCCTGGCTCAGGGGTGTGCCTCCTCAGGTCCACCAGGGAAAGCAGCTGTAGAGTAATCTGATCCTCTCCAAAATGTCCGTGACGCTGTCTCTGAAGAAGGACATTTCCCAAGTTTAAGCTATCATTACCTACTGCAGTCTTCTGTCTGGCTGAAGGAAGGAAGAAATAATCTCCTAAAGTGGCACATTGTGCAAATCTGATGCGTCAATCTTGAAGCACTGCCAAGCAATTCAGAAGAGAAATAAATCAATTCATTCCATCTCCTTAATGCTGCCGTGTCTAACAGGTTTCTATGCTGAAAATATCACCAGCTGGACACTGTGACACTTAATATTGCACCTTCAGAAATGAATTATCAGGCACAAGCCCAGTCTGATGTCATTCTCCTTCCCTGGTTCACTTGAATCTTCAAGAGAAAGAACACTCAGGCTCAGAAGGAACAATGATAAAATGGTAGAACAACATGACATCACCTCCGCATCACAAAACAGGCAAAGTTATAATCCTCTTCACTAGGATCCCTCTGTGACTCCTCTAAACAGAAACAATAACAAAAAAGCAGAGGCAGAGATTAAGCACACTTACAGATTTCAGAGGGGAAAAAACTTAGAAAAGTAAAAAACGAATGTGGACTGATGCCATGTAGGTTCTATTTACTTATCCATTAACGTCTTTGTTCAACATGTACTCATCGCATACTGGCTGTGTTAGAGGTATTATTCTAGGGACATGTAGATATGTAGGTGTACACAGCCCTGCCCTGAGAAAACCAAGCTTTGTGAGCAAGCAAAACAGGCTTCTAAATGGATGGTCATAAATTATGTGATGTCTGTATCAAAACATCTCATGTATCCTCTGAATATATATACCTACTCTGTACCCACAACAATTAAAAATTAAAAGTTTAAAAATAAAATACATTGCCACATATACATGAAAAATGAAATTCTGGAAAAAAATTAGAAAAATAAATTAATGTGATACATGGCACCAAAGAGGAAGGCAGTAGGTGAAATTGCCCAGGGGAATGAAGAGGAGGCTTCTAATGCTTGTTGGAATGGAGAAGGCGTCAGAGAGGTAACTTTTAATCAAGGTCTTAACAAAGGTACAAGGGTTTGCCAAGCAGAGAATTAACATTCCAGGGAGAAGCAGCGAGTCTAAGCATACCTGAGTTTGGTAGGTCTGATCACAGAAAGTAGGTTAGTGTAGTTATATCATGAGGTATATAGGAAAGCATGGTATGAGAGGACATTAAAGACAGGCTGCATTGGATATTCTATGCTGTGGTTATCTGTTGTTGTTTGAGACAAGGTCTTGCTACATGGCCCAGGCTGAAGAGCAGGGGCATGATCTCGGCTCACTGCAACATCTGCCTCCTGGGTTCAAGTAATTCTCTTGCCTCAGCCTCCTGAGTAGCTGGGACTACAGACGTGTGCCACCATGCCCAGGTAATTTTTTAATTTTTTGTAGAGACAGAGTTTCACAATGTTGGCCAGGCTAGTCTCAAACTCCTGGCCTCAAGTAATCTGCCTGCCTCAGCCTCCCAAAGTGCTGGGATTACAGGCATGAGCCACTGTGCCTGGCATGGTGTGGATATCTTAAAGGCAAATGACTTGGTAAAATAACTTAAATGAAAGTAACAAGGTAAAATTTGTGTTTTAGGGGGGAGAACTGCATGATTTTGAAGGTTGGATAAAAGAAGGCTACTGTACTGTCCAAGTTAGAAGATATGAAACCTCAGAGAGACTGGAGTAGTAGAAACATAGATTAAAGGAGGGCTATAAGAAGTTCTTTTTTGATTGGATAAGGGAACAGGGATGAGGTCAAGGGCAGAGTTGATGCTGTCTTCCATGTTTCTGATTTGTGTAGATGAAGTTTTATGGGTTCCTTAACCAAGAAAAGAAAGTAAGAGAGAAGCAGGTTAGATTGGAGATGACAATGGAGCTTAAGTTTGATGCATTTTTAACTTTCTTATGTAAATAAATATAGTGAATTAATATAACAATAAAAGTATACTGGTAAGTTTATGTAATCAAATTGGGGTAACTGAGATACCTATCATCTTAAATATTGTCTTTTTTTAATGCGAGGAACACTCAAGTTATTTTTTTCCAGCTACTTTGAAATGTACAATTGATGAATGTTAAGTGTAGACACCCTACTAATGTATCCTGAAAATATGTACACGTATATCAACCAAAAAATCTAAAAAAACAAGTATACTAAGAAATACTCAGATAAGTTTTCCTAAAAAAATTACTTAAAAATACGCATTCAATTTTACTCAGTTATTGTGTTAACAGTTGACTATCTAGAACTTTGGACTAGGAGCAGAGGGTATATAGTACAGTGTAGGTTTATCAAATATTGTTTTAGATTTAAAAGAAACGTGTTCCTTTTATAGGTTTTGAAAACAAAGCCCAATGAAGTTAAACAGCTAGTGGAAAATAAACAAGATGTGGATAATTGTGTAAACAGGACCCAACTCTCCTAGCTTCTTATGTAGTACATGGTCCCTGCTCATCTGCAGACTCATTGGTGAGATAAAGACTATTAGGCTATTCCAAAAATTCTCTACAAACCCCAAAGACTTTATGGCTCTCCTGAATAAGCCCCTCTGTGACTTTCACTCTAAGCCCCAATACAGGCCTCTCAAGGAAGAAAGTTAAGGTCCCCTGAAGCAAGAAAGTCATTTTATTTGAAAAGACAGAATGACAATTTTATCCTATTCTACCCAACACAATCTTCCTTGTTTCCCCATCTTGGAACACTAAGTCCGCTGCAAATGTTTAATATCTTTTATATCTTCCATGTCTCTACTTAAATTTTTGAACATATTGATTATTATTTTAATGAGTGTTCTGAGCCTAGTCTGCTAAATCAAACATCTGTGTCTGTTCTAGGTTAATTTTAAGTTTTCTTTTCATGTAAGACCCCCACTTTAGCTTTACCTTTTGCAATGAGTAAAAGCTCCCTGAGGCCTTGCCAGAAGCAGAAGCTGCCATAATTTCTGTAGAGCCTGTGGAACTGTGAGCCAGTTAAAACTCTTTTTTTTTTTTTTTTTTTTTTTTTTTGAGAGGGAGTCTCACTCTGTCGCCCAGGCTGGAGTGCAGTGGCACAACCTCGGCTCACTGCAATCTCCGCCTCCCAGGTTCAAGCGATTCTCCTGCCTCAGCCTCCCAAGTAGCTGGGATTACAGGTGCCTGCCACCACACTGGGCAAATTTTTGTATTTTTGGTAGAGATGGGGTTTCACCATGTTGGTCAGGCTGGTCTTGAACTCCAGACCTCAGGTTATCTGCCTGCCTCGGCCTCCCAAAGTGCTGGGATTATAAACCTCTTTTCTTTATAAATTATCCTGTCTCAGGTATTCCTTTATAGTAGTGTGAGAATGAACTAATACATCCTGTGAAATACAGCTGCCTTACTCTGCTTGGATCCATAGCTCCTTCTGCTCACCTCAGGGAATCCACTGGGCTCTGCCTGGGTTCCCCCTTCTTTGTGCTGCAGCCTGAAAACTCTGAAGGCAGTGAGTTTGGGAAATCAAATAGTTCAGATCCTTCATTTCCAGTCTCTCAGGATTCATCATCCTTCATTGTTGGATGGCTTGTGCCTTAAACTGTTGTTTTCATACTGTTTGCCTTTAAGTGTTTGCAGTTGTTCCAGATAAAAGGGTAAATCTGGTCCCAGTTTCTCTAGTTAATGCCTGTTTCGATACAAGTAAAGAGGGAGGTTGAATTGTAGCTTCCCTAGCTGGTAAAATAGTGAACAAGAAAGCTAAAGAAATATACCTGGTACAAAACACCAAAAAGGTCTGAAAAGTTTTGGAATTATTTTTTAACTTTTAAATGGATTGCTGTTTTGATAAGAAAGTAAAGGTTATCCTGAGTCCAGAAACAATGAGAAACATAAATCCAGAAATGTAAGCTAAATACAAACCACTTTAATCACAACCTCAATGTTTCATCTCACAGTAAGCTTCCTGTGAACATGAGACTATGTTTTAGAAAATCACAGAGTGGAACTGGAACTAAGTCATCCAGAACAAGGGTCAGTAGAAAAAGTAAACAACAATGTTAAGACTCACAAATATGGCCCGGTGTGGTGGCTCACACCTATAATCCCAGCAGTTTGGGAGGCTGAGGCAGATGGATCATCTGAGATAAGGAGTTCAAGACCAGCCTGGCCAACATGGTGAAACCCCATCTCTACTAAAAATACAAAAATGAGCTGGGCATGGTGGTGCTTGCCCATAGTCCCAGTTACTCAGGAGGCAGGAGGATTGCTTGAGCCTGGGGGTGGAGGTTGCAGTGAGCCAAGTTTGCGCCATTACACTCCAGCCTGGGCGACAATAGTGAAACTCCATTAAAAAAAAAAAAAAAAGCCTCACAAATATAATCAGTTTTGGAATAGACTCAAAATATAAAATAAGTACATTCATTATATTTAAAAAGTTATAGGATGACCAGAAGAATAGAAATATTAAATAAAAATAGTCTGTGTAATTTAAAACACACATAACATAGTTGAAATTTAAAATGCAATGGATGTATTGAGCAGCATTTTGGACATAAACAAAGAGATAATTAGTGAGCTTTAAGGCAATTCTAAAGAAGTTATTCCAAAATACATCATGTAGTTGAAAATAAAAATAGTTGAAAAATAAAAGACTAGTTGAAAGATGTAAGAGAAAGTGAAAAGATGTAACATATCTAACTGAAGTGATGATAGAATGGGTTGACATTATTCAAATAATGATGGATATATTTGTTCCAGTAACGTGAAAAAGAAAGAGATGAAAAAGAAAAGAAAAAATATTTTCAAAACTAGAGCATTTCGGTTTCCAGGTAAAAAGTACTCTTCTTAAAAGTCATAGTAAAATTTCAAGTCATAGGGTTTAAAGTGAAGAATCCAATACCTCCGAGAGAAAATACAGGTTATAAAAAAGGGATTAAGAATAGGATGGCATTATATTTCTTAATGCAGCTTGAGAAGTTAGAAGAAAATGGAGCAAAGCCTTCAAGAATTGAAGGAAAATGCTCATCAGACTGCACTTTCTTACTTGCAAGACAGCAAGTAACAAAGGTACAAATGGAAGTACAAGTAACTTACTTAGAAATATAGAGGTAGCTGGTAGTGGGAATGTAAAAGTATGGAATGTCTAGTATACAACAAATGAGAATCAGAAGTGGTAACATATGGGGCAGAAGCTCATGTATTTCATTATAAATCTTTGGATATTATTTGATATTTTAAACTATGTGTACATTTTATGAAAAAAATATTTTCGAAGAAGATAAGGTAGCTGTCCATCACAAGACACAGTGAGCTAATTAAGAAATTCGACTTCTGGTTCATACAAATGAGTAAATAACTTAGACAATTTTGCTAAAAACTTAATAATTTTATTTTCCAGTTGAAATACCAAGAGATGCAAATTTTTTTGGTCTTCAATGTATAAAGATCAAAATATCTAATATTATATCTCATATATCTATATTTCGGTACTTATGGATGTGTGTATAGATAGATAGATAGATAATATAAATATAGATTTTTTTTTTAAATTTCAAGTTGACTTCCCCACTGGAGAATTCATGCAGAGTAGGATGAAGGGGGTATGTCCACAAGGTTGAGTCAGGGAGGACCAGGACTGTCCCTTTATCATCTCTACTTAGTGCCAGAAGGACAATATGAAATTGTGACTGAGAGAAAAGTTGAGGCTGAGCCAGAGAGGCATGTGCAAAATGGGCCCTTAAAATTGCAGTAGAGGAAGCATCAAGAGTCCACATATTGAAATCAACTGGAATTGGAGAGCTAGTCAATTTGGTGAGAACTGGCTGAAATGAGGGAAGTAAATAACAAGTGGCCTGGAATAATTCCAGACATGAAAGCCAATGTCTGCCACTAGGCTTGTACAAATTCTCCACATACGTTTGCATAAGTGAGTTCTTCCACTTAAAAAAGGATGGGACAAAAAATGACCTCAGTCTGTCATATGATGGGAGGCCTCAAAATTAAAAGCAATACATATATACCCAAACACACAAAGGACTGAATTTTGAAATTCAATCCATGGCCTCTATGAGCCCTCCAAACAGATGAAATAGATGAGATTACCAGTCTGCAAATGATCAGGACAAAGCTCATTGTTGTGATGGTGAGACAGCATCATTGGATGACAGCATCACTAGCATCTGACTCACTTGACAAAGTATCTGTATCCTGCCTTTTACTAAAAAGCCTAGCACTGAGGTCTCATTTATTCTAGGTAATGAGCACACTTCTTTGCTTTAAGGAGCACTGTTAAGATAGGAGTGTTAAAATCAAGGCTTTACCGATAACAAGGATTTTTAAAAGAGATTTACTACTTTAATTAGAACCAATGATTAGAAAGTCTTGCATTACATTGCAGTACTTAGAATATGAGAATGCAATTTTCCTTCAGTCACTAAGATAATAATTTTTATGAGTGTATTCAGAGGATGTGCATATGTATAAGATAATTGGAAGACGGTTTTTAGAAGAATAGTTATGTCACAAGAAAATTTTAAAAATTCACTAAGCTACTGATATTAATACTTGCATTCATTTGTTAAAATCTTTCCCTTTTCACAGTCAAATTTCCTACTTATACATGTGAAGTGTATAGTTTTTCCCCCATTACAAGAGGTGCAAAGATTTCCTTAGGAAAGTTGCATTTTGGCAAGATATTCGAAATAAAAGAAACACAATTGTTGTTTTAGTTTTAGCTTTAGTTTAGTTTTTTTTTTTTTTTAAAGGAAGTCAGTGATAGTCACAGAAATATTAGGATTTCTAATAGGTCCTCAGAGTATGATTGAAAAGGTCATGTCAAGACAGGGTCAGCAGTATACCTTGGCACTGAGTGAGTTTGAATTGGTTTAGGAGATGAGATCATATTTATCTGAAAGGAAGCAGAAAAGATACTCTAAATCATTTTTGTTCTCAGGAACTTATATCAGCTTAGGAAGAAGGACTAATATGTTCAAGAAAACAATCCCATTGTAAGTGGCACGCATTAACCTTAAATAGACTTGGTGCACAGGGTGATCTATCCCTATAAGTGAGTTTGTGTGTTAGAACCTGAAGGACATTGTGAAATTCTATTTTTCAGGCTCTAAACATGGGTCATTGTGGGAAACAGAAAATGAAAGAGGCAAAGATGTTAAATTTCTCTTTACAAAGTTGCATGATTTACTAGTTAAAATCAATAGGGACTACCTGTAGTAATATACAAATAAATAATGATTTTTAAGATAGAAACATGAGAGACATCTGACTTGCCATCCTCGTTCTCAGAACAGCAAATGGCTCATCTGAGATCTTAGAACAGATGCAGAACAATAACACAGGCTCTTCTTCCATAACAAGGGCATCACATACTCTTCCTCTAACACAGAAGTGGATCATGAAGGGCTTTGCCAACCCCACTGCCCACCTCTCACCTAAGTAAAAAATCTACTAGGAGTTTTCAAAACAGCTGTGTATTATTGGAGAGGAGGCCCTTAGGATGAAGATACCGATGATGCCTACTTAAATGTGTCTTCTGTACTGAATATTAAGTACAAGAGTAAAATCCTAGTTTAAAGAAAAATTTGGAAGAACACTATTCTAAGTAGTAAGCTTTCTATGTCCAATTGTGGGGAAATTTTTGGCTTGTTTTATTTTCTCAGTTTTTCGTCACTTGATTGTGAATGAGAATAGCCATTTCTCCTGCTGTAACACTGTGCTATGCAGTAAGCACTCATTTATAGAACACGGTACTAGATCTGCTGTACATATATATCAAAGCATTGGTTCCTGATTTGGTGATCTTTCTCTTCAATTCACTTTACATAAAAAGTCTCAAAATAATTGTAATTCCTGTTCATGACATTCTAACATCCTTACCAGTGAGAGAATATATGCCAGATATAGAAAATATAACAGTTGTTCTTCCCCCATGTTAAATGTATGAACACATGGGAATTGAGATACACAGAAAGCAGCTTCAAGCAAGGATACTTATTGTCATTGTCTGTGTCATTCATTAGAAGTTCTATGGGGATAAAATAGCCATAGCCAGATAGTTGTTTTTATTTATACATAACCAAATTTTATAAAATTTAGCTTTCAAAGTCTACTAAGCCATCAACAAATATTTAATTGGCACCTACTATGTGTTCAGCCCTCAGAAATACTACTAAATATACATGATAACTATTGTTAATGTTAAAATAATTAGGTTTATCAATTTGGAAAAGAGAACTTTATTTCTCATAAAGGGTTGCAGCCTACAGGGTGACCATTCTGACTGGGAAGCGTAGCCTCTGGTCAGAAACCAAAAACAGACACCTCAAGGGAGGGGCAAAGGGAAAAGGAATTTATGCTGATCATATATATATATATATACACATATATACATATACATATATATACACACATATATACATATACATATATACATATATATACATATATACACACATATATACATATATATACATATATACACACATATATATACATATATATATACACACACACACACACATACATATAGTTGGTAAGCTGTGGTAGCCATGTATATTTATGAAAAGAGAAATGTGTGCATGCACAGTTGAGTCTCATGTCCCTTCACGAATATAAACAGCTGCAAGTGCGTGACCCCAACATAGAGTTTTCAGCTCTCTGATGGCAAAAGGTGAAGCAGAGAACATGAAAACCCTCATTACACATTCTTCGTAGACTGGCCAGAGCCACTCCATGGTTGGTGGACTCCTATCAGAAGGAATGTGGTTTGTTGTTTTGTTGAAACTACAAAAGGGTGGACCAGTATCCAGCAGTTGGTTGACACCATTGGTAAAGTCTTTTGAAAGGGCTGTTTTCTGTTTTTCCCTTAGGGAAGAAAGCTTAACAGCAGTTTGCAAAGGAAGGGGTATAACGAGGCACGTCTAAGCTCCCATCCCATCATGCCTGAGAAGTCAGTTTTCAAGGTTTCTCTGGGTCCCCTTGGCCAAGAAGGGGTCCGTTCAGTCAGCTGGGAGGCTTAGAATTTCATTGTTATTTCTCATGATAAAGAAGAAATGCAGTTTTTATCCTTCTATTTGGATTGTGAAAATAAGATCGACCTATAAAGAGTTGGCTGCAATCATGCAGGTTTATGCTGTTTGTACACCCAGGCTCATGCTTGCTCCTTTCTGCTGTCTCATCCAAGCACTGTGCACACCCCTTCTCCAGATAATTCAAAACTTTCAATCATCAGGATGCCTCTGCTGGATACTCTCTATGTGATTCTCAGATTCACTTTCCACCCTTTTTTCTTCCCAAGGATGCTGTGGGCAACAGCAATGAACATTTCCTTTCTGTGGTTTCCTTTGGAGTTTGTCCAATAGGAGGTACAATAGGCTGAAGTTTGGAAAGGGAAGACTGGAACTGGGCTTTGCATTCTCCCAACTCCTTTCGCGCAGGGCTATGGCTTGGGAAGTTGCTGTGCTACTCTATTAAAGTCCACAGCATTTGTCAAGCAGCTCTGTCCCTAACAGCAACTCCCCCACACCTTTGTCTTCCAGCAACAGTTCACTCCCTTTGCCCTTTAGGGTAAGGGTGGTAAGGGCTAGCTGCTGTTGATAGCCTTGGGGTTCTTCATCATCCTTTTTGATTTTCCTGAAACCCTAAATATACCTTTTTTATTATACTTTAAGTTTTAGGGTACATGTGCACAGCGTGCAGGTTTGTTACATATGTATGTATGTGCCATGTTGGTGTGCTGCACCCATCAACTCGTCATTTAACATTAGATATATCTCCTAATGCTATCCCTCACCCCTGCCCCCAACCCACAACAGGCCCCGGTGTGTGATGTTCCCCTTCCTATGTCCACATGTTCTCATTGTTCAATTCCCACCCATGAGTGAGAACATGTGGTGTTTGGTTTTTTGTCCTTGCGATAGTTGGTTGAGAATAATGGTTTCCAGCTTCATCCATGTCCCTGCAAAGGACATGAACTCGTCCTTTTTTATGGCTGCATAGTATTCCATGGTGTATATGTGCCACATTTTCTTAATCCAGTCTATCATTGTTGGACATTTCAGTTGGTTCCAAGTCTTTGCTATTGTGAATAGTGCCACAATAAACATATGTGTGCATGTGTCTTTATAGCAGCATGTTTTATAATCCTTTGGGTATATACCCAGTAGTGGGATGGCTGGGTCAAATGGTATTTCTAGTTCTATATCCCCGAGGAAACGCCACACTGACTTCCCAAATGGTTGAACTAGTTTACAGTCCCACCAACAGTGTAAAAGTGTTCCTATTTCTAAATATACCTTTTTGCAAAATGGCAAATCATCCTCTTCCTGCTACTCCTCTCATTCACACTTATCAATTATCCCCCATTCAAGTGCAGCACCTGTGACCTGCCTGGACTCCGTCATCACAATGTCAAAATTCTGTCACAATGTCAAAATTCTGTCACAGTGCCAAAATTCTGTCACAGTGTCAAAATTCTGCTGAGTTTCACGCCAAGGGAGGGGAAGGAGAATATTCATCCTCTTTTCCCATTTGGTGTCACATGCAATTATATGGGGCCCAAAGCAGATCAGCTTATATCCAGGTAAGTCAAATAGTTACACCAAATCTTATAAAACTCAATTCCCTACAATCTTAGAAAAGAGGCAAAAAAATAAAAATGAGGAATCAAGTTATTCTTCCCATCCTCTATCCTCTTCATAAACCCTGCTTCTAATCACAATATTCCTCCCAGGCATAAAACAAAAATTGCATTGCCTGCCTATGGATACAAAGAGGTTCGGCTGATGGTAGCAAGTGTTGGGAAGGCTTGGCTTACAGAGCATTAGCTTATCCAAGCAGAACGTTCTCCGTTCCAATAATAGAAGGCAGGAGGAGTAAGAAACTGATCATTACAAAGGTTGGACAAATCAGAAAAGGCTTTATGGACAAGATGAAATTGACTTGGGCTTGACAGATAAAAAGGATTAAGAAGTTTAGAGAGTATTTCAGGGAAAGGTAACATTTGTGCAAAGATAATGAGGTAGGACATTAATACATTGAGGGGAGTGGGGTTTAGGGAGCAATGGAAGATAAAGTCAGATGGGTAGAGGAAGCCACTCAAAGGCAGATCTTGAAAGTTACGTAGAAGTATTTACATTAGATGTAATCAGCAATAGGAAAACATGGAAGGTATAAAATCAACCTGAAGAGACAAGTGACAGGCCACTGGAAGGAATTCTGTTCTACTAGTTTTGGTTAATTTAATGAGATCTTGGAACTCTGGTAATGCTATCTTCAAAATGGCCCTTTTAAACTTCCTGGACAATGTAGAAACCAGTAGAAGCCAAGCCCATTCTTCCATAATGGCAGATGTGGAAATCTTTACATCTTTAGTTAAGCGAGCCTTACAAAGAATTATGGCACTTTGCTAAAGATCCGCTCAGAAGACAGATGACAGATAAATAAGCCTTCAACACATCTCTGCACTTGGAAATTGCAAAGCTGACAAAATGTTCAGAAACTCACCCAGAAGTAGTTTCCATACAAGAAAGTTTCCTTACTTGCTATTTCTTGAAAAGTGAGTAGATAATAATTCTTTAGGCCCAGGCTACCTCTGTGATGACACACGCTTTGAAATGTAGTCTAAAAGAAGCAATAATGTAGAAAAAGGGCAAAGAGATGAAAAGGATCAGAAATGGCTACAAAGTCCATATGACATGGACTCCAACAAGATTACAGGTCATAAAGTGGTCTAAGCTTTCTGATTATCTAAATTTTCTGCATATGATGCTTCCTTTTTCCCTTAAGGACAACTGTAAGAAATACAAAATCTTTGGAGGAAAATGGAAAGCTAGCATATTTAGAATATTTTTTAAAAAGTTAAGCTTCATGCACTATTCTGTGCATTTCCTTATTTAGTAACAACTTTATTAAGTCTATAGGTATTTAGTAGTTTGCTCAAAATCACACAAAAAGATTTTAAATTAGGACACTCAGCCTTCATAATCAATACCTTTCACATGTTACTCACCTGGTATAACTAACAGAAATCATTTATCTGAATATATATATGGTCAGCCCAATTGATCTGAGTTTTCTTCTAAGAATTTTCAATAGTCATACTGTTGAGCTATGTCTCTCTGAATTAAATCAAGCCTATAGCTAAAGGAGATCCCCTCTATAGTCCTTTCCTATTTTCTAACTGGTTTTACTCATTGTTTTATTCATTCGCTGTGTGTGTTTGAAGGAAGTTAAGCTTTGATATCATTTATTCATTCATACTTTCATATATTTCAGCACCTCTTATATGGAAGGCATCAATGAGAACCAAAATAAAAACTACAATCCCTCACTCAAGAAGTTTAAAATGAAGTGAATGGACAATTGTGAGAAGAAATGCTATTGATCTTCCAAAGTTGTATATTCGATAGTGAATATTGTATGTTTAAAGTAACCTTGCAAAATGTGTCATGTCAAATGTAATAAATTGTATGTTCTGACGAAGGAATGGAATGCCAGATCTAAGGAACTGAAATTTATCTGGGCACTGGACAGTCATTTTATATTTTTGAGGAGAAAAGCCATTTTAGTATTCCTTGAATATGTGTAGTTTCTTAAATACAATATATATGTAGCATGTAAGTACTGAATTTAGAATGGAAAAATACCTTTACAATTACCTTGTTCTATCCTCTTATTTGACAAGGAGGACATGCAAGCTCAGATAAGTGAAAATTACTTGCCTGGATCTGATAGGGCCTGAATTCTACATTTTCTAAATTTAAACTTCCTGGTAGATTGTCATTGAACTGAATGTCTATTAACTCCCAAATCAGTACTTCGTCAGATCTTTGTGACCCAATATTGATTCATTATCTTATTTGCCAAATAAATAACAGTTTAAGCACAATGCTATGTGCTGGGTGTGAGGAGAAAAGTGACACACAGCCCCTGACCTAGAAAAACTTCCTTAATGTGGGAGAGGGTAAAATGCAAAGCAATACATGTGTTAATCCATTTGGATTCACAGGGTATTAGGAGAGAATAATAAATATATTGTGGCATCTTAATTACCCATTATGCTTATTAAAATGCATGAGTATTATATAAAACATTCCAAATGAAATGCTGTCAAATTCATATGACATTGTTGTAAAATCCTCAAGATATTGAATAGCTTCATTAATGACACTGTTAGAAAAATACTGCTGCATTGCAGGCAATATTCCCATTTGGAATAAACTCATTTGCACTTTTCTCCTCAGCGATGGAGCCACTGCTTTGCTATCAGCCAGTGCTCCAGAAACTCCTTAAGCTAAACCCACATTTAGGAAATAATAGAGATCGGTTTTTTGACTCCTCTAAAACCTTCTAAATCTTCCATAGCAGTTGGTCCATTTGCTGAGCTGCAGAACTCACGCTGTCATGAAGGAATTTTACTTCACAGATTCAAAGAGTGGTTCAGGGCTGTAATGGTCATTGGGGCATTTTTCTCATTTTTCAGGTGAGGAAACTGACACTCAGAGAAACTGGATGACTTGCTAGTTAGCTGCCAGATGAAACTAGATCCCTAAATACCTAGCAACTGTCTGGTGCTGCTTCTGCTACAACATATTATCTGGACACCTGTCTTACTCTGTTTTGTGCTGCTATGATAGAATATCTGGGATTTGGTAATTTATTAACAAAAGAAATTTATTTGGATAACAGTTCTGGAGGTTGGGAATTCCAAAATCAGGCAGCCCACCTGGTGAGGGTTTCTTGCTGCTTTAACTCATGGTAGAAAGAGGGGAGGGGGAAGAGAAGGGGAATGTGTAAAGAGACCAAACACGAGAAAGAACAACCTGGTTTCTGCTAACTAATCCAATCCTGCAAGAGGGAGAACTTTCTTCCCCAGATGGTATTAATCTACTCGTGAGAGATCCATCCCTGTGACCCAATCACCTCCCACTAAGCTCCACTTCCCAAAACTGCCATATTGGGAATCAAATTTCAACATAAGCTTTGACAGGAACAAGCCACATCTGAACCACAGCAATACCTTCTCCAATATAATTTTTCCATTATCAATAAACTCACAGTGACCCATTATGGCATGAGGTTCAAAAAGTGTTCTATCTATTCATGAAACACTATTATGAGTCCACATGGATATTTATTCCAAGCAGGGAGCTCGAATGAGAAAGAATGACACAAACAGGGTTTTCTCTTTGTGGCACCTCTGCTGGGATGGGCCACCTTAGTCTGTTTCTTGTATTGAACATGATATCCTCTAGTGATTTATATAGAAAACTTTATGGAAACTGCAAGACAGAAATTCTTCTGGGTACTTTGCCTAGGTTATCTCATTCAGCCCTCACAAATCGTGACGGGTTTGTATGTGGTATGTGTGTGTGTGTGATTGTCTTTCTTTTGTAGATTAAAAAACTGAGGCTCTGAGAAGTTATCTGTGCAGGTCACATACCTGGTAAATGGTAAATCTCAGAGAAACTTTGGTTTCTCTGAACTTAAATTCATGCTGCTTACACTGTGCCAGGTTACTCATTGAAAGCACCAACTCTGCCCTGAAATTAAGCAAAAGAAATATTTGTTTTCATATAGTGTAATTATATGTGTATATTTCAGGGTTTCAAATTAACAGAACCATGTTGGAATTGGTATGACATTTTGCATTTCCCAAATGTTTTATAATTTTTTTGTCTGATCAATGAGAAAATCTTTATAAGTGATTTTGCAAGTCATAGTGTTTAGTTTTTTGTTTTTTGTTTTGTTTGTTTGTTTTGTTTTGTTTTGGCAAGGAGTAGGAGCCTGAACAGAACTGACTTTGTCATTCTATGGCCTCAGAGGCAGGGATGAGTTACAGCTTTTTAAGTTTCCTGGGTTTTGTCCATGTCCTACGTTCATAAATCCATTCATCTCAGCTCCAGAATTGTAGACTCATCAGGGCCACTGGGAGCTATTGTCTAAAATACCAGGTCTCGGCCAGGTACGGTGGCTCATGCCTATAATCCCAGCACCTTTGGAGGCTTGGGCAAGCAGATTGCTTGAGCCCAGGAGTTTGAGACCAGCCTGGGCAACATAGCAAACCTCATATCTACAAAAAATTAAAAATAAGTTAGTCAAGCATGGTGGCATTTGCTTGTGGTCTCAGATACTCAGGAGACTGAGGTGGGAGGATCATTTGAATCTGGGAGGTTGAAGCTGCAGTGAGCTGAAATTGTGTCTCTGCCCTCCAGTCTGGGTGACAGAACAAGACCCTGTCTAAAAAAAAATAAATAAAAATAAATAAAGTACCAGGTGTCTCTTTTAAAGAGCAAAATGAAAAACATTACCAAGATTGATGTGAAAGTCACAGAAACTGAGGTTTGTGATTTGTGGAAGACTCATTACCACATTGAAGTGTCAATGCCTCCATGCAACCTAATGAACCCTTGGCCTTAAGTCACCCAGTATTATGCAATGTAATAAAAATCTACTGGGGTTCAGCGGGGTAGGTGATAGTGTCATGGTGTTACAACACTTTTGTACAGTGGCCAACACAATGACTGCTTTCACATTCATTTCCTTCGGCTTCATTGATTATGTTGTGTGACTTTGCATAAACACAGCATAGATGTGACTCTGATTTACATTGCAGTGACCTCTAGCAAGCGGCACCAATTTCCCTTCAACTCCAGTCTTGCAGCTCCCGAAACTCAATATTTGGGAATGGTACATTTAAACAAAGCCAAGGTGCTACAAGGTGGATCTAAAACCTAGGAGCTTTCTCATCTACCCCCAGCTTCAGGAATAGATAGTCATTGGAAACCCAGTTACACTATGAGCAGAATAAGAAGAAGAAATGAAATCATGACGAAGGAATTTTACCAGCAGATATGAAAGAGTTGCAGGAACATGTTCTTCTGTAAAATATTGTGGTTAAAATCTACGAGGCTACGGTTAAAGTTTAAACCAGGTGCTAAAAGAACCACAGATTTGCTCCTAGCTCTGCTCTGATTCTTTGAAAATATTGGACATAAAATTTGAACTCCGGTGCCTATTTTCACATCTGTAGTTTTAAACATATATCTACCAATTCTAATGACGACATGTCTTGGTCATATTTACCACACTTAGATCACAGCAGTATCTAATTCATAGATGACACTAAAGTTAGGTCTATTGAATAAATTAGGGCTTGGTCTTCTTATTGCCTGTAGTGCTCACACATAATTAAAAGGCAGCATAGTATGGTGGTTAAGTGCACAGGTTGAGCCCAGTAAACTTGAGTCTGACTCTTCACTGTTTATACATGTAAACCTGGTTAAGTTCCATAATCATTCTGTACCACACTTTCATCAAAGGTATGTTGTAATAATGGTACCTACATCATAAGATTGTTATAATAATTAGCTGAGTAAATATAAGTAAAGCAATCAGGGCAGAGCCTGGCATATAGAAAACACAAGTACATGTTATTAAATTTGACCTTGTTAAAAAGATCTTTATTAACTCTATGATTTCCTGTTTATTCCCTTCCTGACAAGACTCTATTAAAACAATTAATGAATACTGAAATTGCCCAGTGAAGAGCAGGGGAAAGTGAAGGTAAAGATTAACTATCAAGAAGTAAGAGTAAACATTTTATACATCCCCAGATCTCCCAAGTTGCTCTCATGTCCTAGAATACAAACCAATCAATGCATTTCAAGGAGGCTCCTTTGTAAAACACAATGTATTACTCATTAACTTAGGAATCTGGAAATAGAATGCATTTTCTCACAACTGCAAAAAGGAACAGAAGGGCAGGTATGCTACTTAATTCCCTTGTTTGAATTCAGTATTACAGTGTGTAGCATTTTTTACTAGAATACCCTGGGCATAACATGTTTATCATAAGCTTTCTCTTTGAGGCCTTTAATTTGCCCACACTCCCTCCCCTTGAGTTCCCATTGCAGTTCCACTAGGGAAGGAACTTTCTGATCCTATAGCCTACACATAGGTTAGAGGTTTGTCTGTCTTAATTTTACATTCCACTGAGCAAAGGAAATTGTTTCCAAAAGAATAAGGCAATAAAATTCCTAATTTTGCCTTTAAAATGCATAGGTAATCTATTTAGAATGATCTCTCTTTGAATACATAGGTTTGAAACATCTTAGGGTATCGTGATTATGAGCTAATTCCTGCTCCATTCTTCCAGGCTGGGCTATAGCTCTTGGGCCTATCCTGTAAAGACTCAGCTCTGATCCAATTTAGATTAAACCAAAGGAGACCAAAAGAAAACTGGTAGCCACCCTGGGATAGGGTCAAGAACTGGTCCTGCTTGAACCAGCCCATGGTTTGTTCTGCAGTGATTCATAGACATCTGCTTGTCAGTGAGTTGCAATCTTTCATTAACCTCTACCATGAGTTTCCAGACCACATACCTGGGCTTCTGCTTCTGTTTCCTGAGTCGCACTCTATTTGTAATCCAGTTTCCTGATGGCATTGGAAATTGGAGCCGAAACCCAGCTGAAATAGAGAGGACCCTGACATACTACTTTACCCCGTTGTTATTTGCTTTGGGGACTGGACCACTTTTCTCTATTTCATATGTTGGTCTTTATTTTGTTCAAAATAACATGGACCACCTGGAACCATGACATTGATTTCTAATTACCAGGCATATCTCCACTATATAGAAGTTCTTTATTTTGCACCACTCTTTAGATCAGACTCCTCTCTGTAAACAGACAGCTCAAATCAAGAAATAATGCTACTTGTGGATACTCTCATTCTTATTTGTTTAAGCTCTCAGAGATAGCACCACATTTGGGTTTGTTAGTTCTGGCCTGGCTTATGCCTACTCACTCATGTCCTCACTGAGCAGCTACAGATGGTTAGTTCATCATGACCCATGGAAGGGCCTAACGCGATCCTACTTCATTAAAAATTAGAATCACACACTCACAGACACACACACACATGCACACACACAAAAATAATATTCGCAGAGTTACAATAGAAATACATGTACACATGCACAAAAATGTCATAGCAGGATTATTTTTTTATTTCAAATCATTTAACAATAATGTATAAATAAATCATGGGCTATTCATACAATAGAGTACTACACAATAATAAATAAACATAATTTATTGGTACATGCAACATTATAGATAAATTCTGTAGGCATAACTGAGCAGAAAAAGCCAAACACAGAAGGATATATTCTCAGTGGTTGTGTCTGTATAAAGGGCAAAAACAGACAAAACTAAGTGGCTATAGTGATTACCTCTGGGAAACAGAAGAAAAGACACAGAGAACAAGAGTTAAGGAGTAAACATGAGTAAATCACAAACTCCATCTTCTAGGAGCTAGCAGCCCTGTAGAGAACAGGAAAATGTAAACAGAGGTTTATGAAATTGGAAGTAGCACCTTAGGAGGCAGCAAGCAGAGAGCCTTTCCTTTGACTCCTAAGGCTCCCTAGAGATCTGGAAGGCTTTTATTTTATGATAGAGTTTATATTACAGCGAGTCCTGGAAATTGTCACCCATCTACTATAACTTGACAAAAGAAGAACTTGAGGCATCCTAGGATGTAGATAATGTTTCATTGCAGTCTCTCAGTAAAAAGACAGACATTTTCACATTCAATATCTGTGCACTTTTCTGACTATGTATTATAATTATAACATTATTAAAGATAAAAAATATGGCCTCCTGCAATTAAGGTTCCTGCTGTTTAATTTTGGGGCTACAGATTTATAAATAGAACCTAATCTTCCCCTTGGCTATTTATCCATCCTCATTCTACCAATATTCTTCTGTGGGCAGATGATGCCAAAGTCTATAGCTGTAGCCCTGACATCCCTATCCTGCTGTCAAGCACACTTGCCACACGGGACCACTTGAACACTTCCTTACCTTTGACAGCTTGTCTACAATACTATTCTTTCTGCCTCTAAAATCTGTTTAGTCCATTCTCTCCTCCCCTCCCTGATAATTATCACTCTTCTTGCCACCTCATGCATTTTCCTGGACAATTGTAGCTACCTCCTAATCGGTCTTCACAACAGCAATTTGTATCCATCATAACTGTGACTCCATCAAGACCATAAATACGTTGACACCATTCTTTTGCTCAAAAGTGTTAATATCTCCCAAATGCTAACTGAATGAAATAAAAACCCCTAGGCCTGGCCTTCATAGCTGGTTTCAAGCTATCTCACTTATGCCTTTTGCTGCTCCACTTCTCATATCTGATTCTTGTAGCTAGTCTGATTTTCTCAACATTTGCTGTGTCTAGTCTTACTAATCATATTTTGTTTCTTTTATTCATAATTGGCCCTCTGCCATGGATTTGTATTCTCCTATCTTCAGAGACCTAATTCTATGTATCCCGCAATGTCTAATTCAAATGCTACCTTTTTGATAAAAGTTTTTCCTCATTCCTTCCAGGTGCAATTTCTCGCTCCTTTCAAGGACCATCACCACTTTATTTTTATATCTTTTATATGTATTTATCAATTTTCCCCTTTTATCAATGGCCTAATTTGCAAACAAACAAACAAAAAACTCAATGTGTAATGAGTAAGCAGTAGTTTGAATCCTACCTTTGTTGCTTACTAAGTGTGTGATTTGAGGCAAGTCATTTAACTTGAGCTTCAATTTTTTTTTTTTTTTTTTTTGAGACGGAGTCTTGCTCAACTGTTGCCCAGGCTGGAGTGCATTGGTGTGATCACGACTCACTGCAACCTCTGCCTCTCGGGTTCAAGCAATTCTTCTGCCTCAGCCTCCCGAGTAGCTGGGAATACAGGCATGTGCCACCATGCCCGGCTAATTTTTGTATTTTTAGTAGAGACAGGGTTTCACCATGCTGGCCAGGCTGGCCTCGAAATCCTGATCTTGTGATCCGCCCGCCTCGGCCTCCCAAAGTACTAGGGTTACAGGTGTGAGCCACCACACCTGGCCTTTTTTATCATGTCAAAATATGGAAGATGGCTGCAAATTTTCAGGACTCACTACAATATAAACTCCATCCTAAAATAAAAGCCTTCCAGATCACTACGGAGCCTTGGGAGTCAACAAAAAGACTTTCTGCTAGGTGCCCTCTAAGGCTACTCCCTGTTTCATAAACCTCTGTGTACATTTTCCTATCCTCTGCAAGGCTACAAGCCCCTAGAGGATGGAGTTTATGATTTACTCACGTTTAGTCCCTTAACATAAGCACCATGCCTTGTACACTGTTAGTGCACTAGAAATGTGTGTTAAGTAAATCATGGAAAAGAATCATATAATGAAAGGGTGGTATTTTACATAAAGAATTAGACAAGTCTAGAATTTACTGGGAATGACCAAAGAAGTTGTATTCATTGATAACATCAGGATCTAAACCCAGGTGTCATGTCTCAGAGGCTAAGACTCCAATAACTTGACAGTTCATCCAATCATAAATAAAACAGTGAAAGGAACTCCAGGGATCATCTAGTTCAAGCACGTCGTTTTATAGGGTGTCCCTCCAACCGCTGAAATGCTTTTCCCACTTAATATAGCCAGAAAAGGCTACAGCAAGAGGCCAGGTTTGCTCTTTTCTCTAGAGATCTCTTCAGCTTGTCACTCTGCTTACCTCTGGAAGCCCTGTTGCTAGGCAACCATGAGCTCTTTCAACCACTTAAGTTTCAAGTGTATTTTATGAAATTTCTCTCCTTGATATACTTGAATGATGGTGGAATTTACTATGAGAAAGAACAAACCTGAAAACAGCCAGCTTGTGAGCTTAGGGAAGTTAACTCAGTCCGGTTCCTCTAACTGGACAACGGGATTGTTTTGCTTGATGTGAATAATGAATAGGCTACTGGCTTTACAGCATTAAGCACCCCGAGTCCACACCAGCTCTGGGCATGTGGATGAAAGTGCTTGCATGTTTTTTAAGGGTGGTGAATATTAATCTCACTATGCCCTTTTAAAATACAGATTTTTTCCATGAAAATTACATGTATTGGTTATTTGCTTTAACAAGATTTTCACTTGGAAACTTCCACATTTTCACTTGGAACCTGATTTTTATAGCAACTGCATATAGTACAGAGGCCTTTTTCTTGTACCTGATTTATGATCTTTCCCTGGAAATTGCCCTGGGGACCCCTCTGGCCCACTGCTGAACTCTGGTACTCTTGGTTTCTCTGGTTCCTTCAATAGGGGAGCAAATGGGAATTAAAACTGACTTCTTTAACTGGTTTCAGCCTTGCTATTCGTATTTGTCTGCAATGCAGCACAGCATTCTCTTCTAAGCACAGTGAGCTCTAACTCTGGCAGTGTTTTCATAATTTATAATATATTTTAATATTGGGACTCAGTTCACATATTTGGGAGGATTCAGTTAGTTGTTTCTCAAAGGCTTGGATATAATACGACGTTTGTAGCCAGTTGCTCTTCTGGCCATTATTTTGTCTCATAAGCCAACTCTGAAACCAGTTTACTTCACAAAAACTGACAATAGTGGTTTTATTTTTAGCTCTTGAGCCAACTCTGCAATGATAAACAGTCAGTTATTTCAAAGGTGATACAAGAGCTAGGAATTATTATTCCAAAATATTTGAAAGTTGCCAAGGGCCATACAAATTTTATTAAATCACTTATAATAAAACATGTGAGAATTACAAATTATAATAATTTACTTTTATATATCACTTTTCATAATACAAAATACCTTAATATTGATGCTTACAATGACCTTGTGGGATAGGCAAAGCTCTCTGAAGGTAGGTATTAGCTCCAATTTATACACTTGAGAAGCTGAGACTAAGGGAAGTAACATGACTTGTCAGGAACATTCTGTGGAGGAGCTAGGACTTTAACCCAAGACTTTCAGTTCCAAACTCACCTCTCTATTACTAATGATACTCTTTGCCAAATATCAGAAGATTACACTTATTGAGCTACTTATCCCATACCTTGGGTGGTAGAAAGTAATGATAACTCTAATAAATGCTAATACTAAACGTCATGAATACATTTGGAATTCAAGTTCTATGACATACATGCTATTATTTTCCACATTTTACTGATAAAGAAATTCAGGCAAAATCAAGTTACATAACTTGCCAAATGTCACATGTTTAAGAGAAAGGGTGAAGATTCAAATCGAGGCCAATTGCTGAGTTCTAAGCACCGCTATGACTGATATAAGAAATATAAGGCAGCTAGCTGCAGAGAAAGGACAGTGGTGACCAAGCAAGTTCACAGGTTCATTTGAGGATCCATCTTGGGACCTCATGTTCATTAACACAGTATTCACTTGCTACATGCTTCAAGCAAATAACTGGTTGGTTTACGACCATGCAGCTAAAGAATATTAGACTCAAGTACTGTGGGTCTAAGAACACAGCTGAATCTGGTGGGTCGGGGTCATAGAGATGATTCCTTCTCTAAGTTACTGATTGGGACACTTGCCTTTGATCCTGCTCTAAATAATTTCTATGTCTTTATTTTTTTTTCCCATGAGACATAACTTAAATAAAATCTGATAGGATGATCATATGTCCCCATTTTCCCAGGTCCTTACTGTTTTACTTCTGTTGTTTCAGAGTAATTATTGACAACAGCCCCTCTCACTCTCAAAGGCTTCCCAGTTTGGGTAGTAGATATTATGATAAGAAACCCATAATTTCCAGACTATCAAAATTTCAATTGAGTGGAAAACCTCACATTTTGTTGTATAACTGACTTGAATGTGGATAGTTAATAGCATTTTGCCTTGATTAGGTTGAACTTAGCTCAGTCTCCTGTCTTTCATCTGCAAGATGGATATACCAATATAAATCTTGCATACTTATTATAAGGATTACATTATACACAAGCATTGGCTCCCCGTGAATTTGTTCCCATTCTTCACTTCCAGTATCCTTTATTTAATACTTAACTGAGGGCTGACAGTTGTTCTTTTCTATATATGCTGCTCGTCTCTTAAAATAGGTAAGCCCCTCAGTGGTCATGATCGAATGTTAAATCACTGTAAGTCCCAGTCACTTGATATGCTTCCTTGTAATTGCTTTTTGTGTAATAAATGTTTGCAGATAGTGGATTTGTCTATGAGTAGATCTTATTGAAATATTTAAGCATCTCTAGTATACAATAGTTTCATGGAATCAATGTTAATGTCAGAAAGTCATCCAGCCACAAATCTTACTCTCTTCTGTAAGCAAGTTCATCCTGGTGGTTACAATGCTTCTTTTATGCTACTAGGGTATTCCTTAGCAAATAACTGCAAGATTGCTTTACATGTCATGGTGCATTGCAGCTAGAAGTCTTCCCTTCTTTCTGATCCTTATATCAATATTTGTTTTCTTCATTTTGTACATGATAAAAGTTCTTCCTTTATTAAGGAACTAAATAGTATAGCAGTGGCTTTAAAGTGATTTAGGTGCTCTGTAAGAATTTCCAAGTTCCTTAAAGAAGCACTGCATTGTATCTTAAGAAGGCACCACATGGTTTGGCTACAGAGAAAGTCAGTTCCAAGTTAAAGTTTACATGAAGATACGTTTGCAGGGGTCTTTGCAGCCTTCTGGACTGATGTGCATAGAATCTGTATAACACGCAGTTGAGAGGGAGAGTAAGACACAATGGCTAGCCTGAAACACACACACCAGAGCCATTCTAGAAGAATCTGACCCTGCTAGAAAGGCCAGCGGCAGAGATGACCAGGCAGGTCCCAGCGCAGTGAAACTGGCCTCAGTTAAGGTGTTCCAAGTGGTCAGTGTTGAGGAACAGAATGAGGTAGGGAGAGCATTTTATGGAAAAATCCAAGGAAGAGGGAGTAGGATTCTTGACAATCAGAGAAACTGTTGCTATGAGTCCAGGAAGTTTCCTCATTGAGAACTCTAGGCCTAGCCTCTTCAGGGATTAGGAATTATACTTCCTCCATAAACACTTATCACATTTTATAGCAATTTCTTGTTAATTATCTGTCACCTCACTAGACTGTAAACTATGTGAAGGTAAGGGAATCTCAGCCTTGTCCTGCTCTAATCCAGTACTCAGCAGGCACACTGTAATTGTTCAATAAATAATCGTTATGTAAATAAATGAACCAATAAGCTACATAAACAGCAGTATCTTAGCCATGAGTCTAGGTAGAACACTAAAGCAAAGCTTCATAAGGGAACTAATGAATCAGGCAAGTACCAGGTTGAAATTGTGGGTGTGATATGGACTCACCTCCATAGACAATATCCAAGGTCAACCTGGCAGAGACTCTATGGGACCACTGAAATTCAGGGTATAGCATATGGCTTAATCCCTAGTCTAACCAAAGAGAAGACACTACCATTGATATCCCCTGTTGCTGTTTTGCTCAGAGAACACAAGTCTGACTGTTAATAGGTCAAGCCTTGAGGAGTCACAAAAGGCACTGGGGTATTTGTCCTTGCATTAGGTCATTTTAAGCAGATGCTCCTGGCAGATTCTGTAAAATCTACGTATTGGCTTCATTTTTGTTGTAATTTGATGGAAAGCTGGGTATTGATTTTTAGAGTAAAAGCAAAAAATACTTGGAAAGGTTTTGATTCTTTCCATTAACTTTATTAGAACTATAACAAATCAGTCATCTATTAAGACCACAGCATTTTTATAGAGAAGACAGATTCCTACATTCAAATTGTTTTGTCCCAATCTCTGTCTCTCCCTAAGCAAACACAGTGTGTTACTCAACCATTCTTCTAAAGATATTTTTTTCTCGGGCAGGGCATGGTGGCAGCGCCTGTGGTCTCAGCTACTCAAGAGATGGAGGTGGAAGGAACACTTAAGCCCAGAAGGTCGAGGCTGCAGTGAGCTATGCTCACACCACTGCACTCCAGCTTGAGCAACAGAGTGAGAACCTGTCTCAGATAAATAAACCAATAAAAATAAAGAG
Organism: Homo sapiens; assembly: GCF_000001405.40. Classification (NCBI taxonomy): domain Eukaryota; kingdom Metazoa; phylum Chordata; class Mammalia; order Primates; family Hominidae; genus Homo; species Homo sapiens. The sequence goes on from NC_000008.11 coordinate 24,539,331, forward strand.
ATTAACAAAATAATAATTTAGAAAGACAAAAAATATTTATTTATTTTTTGAGACAGGGTCTCCCTCTGTCACCTAGGCTGGAGTGCAGTGGCATGATCATGGCTCACTGCAGCCAAGACCTCCTGGGCTCAAGCAATACTTCCAACTCAGCCTCCTGAATAGCTGAGACTATAGGTGTGCAGGACCATGCCAAGCTAATGTTTGCATTTTTAGTAGAGATGGGGTTTCACCATGTTGCCCACGTCTGTCTTGTGCCCCTGGCTCAAACAATCCATCTATCTCAGCCTCCCAAAGTGCTGAGATTATAGACGTGAGCCACCACACCTGGCCAATCTCCTCATTTTTTAATGTAAATAATTCCACTTTAGAAAGATCATTTGCTTATTTGCTTTGAGGTGAATTAAAGACTTAGGAAATATCAAAAATATTCAATATACATTTGACTCTATTAACATGTCTTCATCTTCTATTTGAAAAATTTTCTTAAAACACTATAAGGTAGCTTTTAAGGATACTTAAGGCTCAGCTATGAGTCACCCTGGGATAAGTACAGTTCAAGGTGAAGCTGAGGCTTGGTCAGATCAAAACCAATGGGATGAACATTAATATATGTAGCTCTGTATCCTAGGGCTTAGGCAAGAATTTGAAGTAGAGGATGTGCTCAGAAAGTGGACAAAACAATAGATGAAAAATTGAAAAAGTGAATGAATTAAATAATCTTGAAGGATGTGTCTGTTAATCAGCTAACCAGTGATACCAAATAATGCCCAAATAGGTAGAGGCAATTGGCTTACTATTGGTAGTGATAACATACAATCAGGTCAAACCTGTGGTTCCTGGCATGAGTTCCCATAGTTTGAATGGATGGCACAGCTCAAAAAAGACAAGTGACAGGAACGATGTCTAGATTCTAATAATGCTGAGCCACAGTTGAGGTTAAATCTCTTTTCTCACCATGGAAATGAAACGTTGAGCAGGAAGACAAGATTAAGAGGAACAAAGAGGCCTACACCTCAGAGGCAAAGGTGAAGACTGTAGCCTTGTGGCTTTCAGATGCTCATGGCTCATGAGAGGTGAGGCAGATCAATGACAACAAATCTAATTCACGACCTACGCCGTCACTGAATTTTTTTCTGTTCTGATGGGGATTGGCTACAAACTGGGAGGGAAGTTAGGGCGAAGTGAGGGTTTCAGTATCCCATGGCAGAAATAAGTGGGGAGTCACAAAATGCACTGGGGATTTGTCCTTGCATTAGGTCATTTTAAACACACGCTTCTGGCAGATTCTGTAATATCTATGTATTGGCTTTATTTTTATTGTAATTTGATGGATGGAGAGTGATACCAAAAAATTCCTGCTAAGTACAACATTTTCTTTCTCACCACCTAGGATGAATGAATCTTATCTAGCGTAAAAGAGAGATGCTAAAGGAGATGCCAGAGAGGGTGGGTCTATGTACCTGCCTGTCATCCCTACAACTGCTTTGTGATCTAGGTTTCATTTCTCCCAGTTTTACAGACAAGGAAACTAAAGCTCATGGAAATTAAATAATTTATAAAAATTTACAATACAGGAAGAGACAGAGATAGTTATCAAAGGTAGATCTTTTTCAATCTTATGGCACCTTCAGCTAATTTAAGACTCTGAGAATCTAAGTCTATGAACTGCAACAGAAACAAAAGACACTGCCTGCCCTTCTTTTTTGGACTGGGCTGTCCTCACCTGTTAGCTATTAAGAAGTGTGATCATTTTCAGTCCTTACTCCAGAGTCTGACTCCAATCATCATCCCTATTACCAATCTTCAGATGTGTATTCTGAGAGAGATTGAAAACTTGTAACTCCTAAATCTTGACTTCACAGGACAGAAGAAAAAAATGTAAGCAGTCAAAAATGTGAATTCAGACTAATAGGAACTGCTTTAACTAGAAGAGATGAGATATTATTATGACCTAAAGGATTCATGGGACTAGAAAGAGAGGTAATGGCAAAAGCGTCCCTATACCAGAGAAGAACGAGTAAGTGCTCATGGTTAACTATAGGAGATTTTTAATTCACGGATCCTTCCAATGCTGCTCAAATCCTTAAGCTGTATTCATCCTTCTTGTTCCCACATGTGTAGATTTCTATTCCCCTCCCCAGCGCATAAATCCAACACTAACTCCCAGTTTACCAAAGACAGATGGTTAAGGAGGTGTAATCCATGGGAAATAGATGTTTCCAAAGCCACAAGGTTTAGTACATATAGTAGAGCATCAGTCTATGGTTCTCCTTGCTCTTTTATTTTTTTCAAGAACTGGTATCTTTTTAGCATTCAAACAGAGGTGTTATGAGTCAGCAAAAAGAAAATAAAGTTTTTGTTATAAGTCAAATTTACTATTAGTATTGTTGTATGTTTTGAATGGAAATAAATGGCATTCACTTCTTTAATCTATCCATATGCTACATGTATATCACCGAAAATGTCTTTAGTATCAAGAGTTAGCTCCAACACTGCACTACATAGATTTATACACACAAGGGTTAAAGTATTAAAAACTATCTTAAAGCGACATGGAAAACGAACAGCCAATGAAAAGCTCTTTTGATGAGGTAATGCTATTTGCTTAAGTTTCATTGGTTGAGTCTAAAATTTCTGTTTCCAGGAGTTGGAGGACAAGTTTCTCTGCAACCAGAAAGAACTGGATAGTCTCCAATTGCTTATATAAGATACTTTATGATCACTCAGTAAAAGCAAGTCCCTCCTCAACTTGCCAATAGCCTAGAATTATTTCCCAACAAATTCATACATAAACTAGCCTGCAGGGATTTCTGCTTGTTCCAAAACAAAATCTACATAAGAGATTAAGAAATGCAGAGTTAAATTCTGAGTAATTATATTTGTGTACTATGTTGAAAGGAATATTAAACTATAAGTTAACACACCTCGTTCCTCATCCAAGCTCTGATACAGTCACCTTGGCAACCTTGTGCTGCTACTTACCACTTCTAGAATTTAGGTTCATCTTGTTTTTGTTTTTCAAAATTCTTATTTCTTGCTGAAAAATGACAATAATTGTGGCAGTCCTACCTATTCCGCAGACTTTTTGCATGCAAGGGCATCCAATGAAATATTGAATATGCAAGAGCTCTGAAAAATATCATATCTACCTCAACTTACAGGGTTTCCTGTAATTTTATGGAAAGATGACATTATGACTCCTTTTTGAGGTAACATTAGCACCCTTCATAAGCAAGCACAGAAATCCTCTTAGCTAGATATGATACGTCCATATGTTAAAAGAAAAAAAAAAACCAACAGAAACTGAGAAGGTAGTCTGCTTTAATGCTAGGGAGGAAGATACAGATTTCATTGAGGTAGAGTTCTATCCAAGCCAAACCGTCTTGAGACTTAATTATCTAATTAGAATAGCTCTCTTAGCTTTGTGAAATATAGATAGGCTGTTTGTCCCATTGGGAGTTTTAAATCCTATCTTCAAGGCCACTAGACTTTGAGGCAACTATCCCACTACTCATTGCAATGTCTAGCCATCTAAGTATACAACCCACTGCATAGGCACATTGGTAGCTTCAAGTCTATTGCTATCTTGGCAAGAAAAAAAATGCAACAGATTTATTTTCTGGGAGAGAGTTCTAGTTATACATCTTAACATATTTAAAAGCAAAACTCTTGATATTCTTACTACCCAACTCTAGCCTTCCCAAATCCCTACCTCTTTCATCTCAGTAAATGGCAATCCCATCCTTCATGTTGCTTAAGCAAAACACCTTGGAGTCATCTTTATTTCTTCTCTTTTTCTCCACCCGACCTTGACTCTATCAGCAAATACTGCCAACCTACTTTCAAAATACACTCACAATCCAGCCTCTTCCACTCATAATCACCACTGTGATTATCACTCTGGTGGAAACTGCTGCCATTTTTTCCCCTTGGATTATTGCAAAAACCTCCTAGTTAGTCTCCCTGCTTATGCCTATCCCATACGATCTACTGTTCAAAGAGCAACCTGAGTAATTCTCCTAAAAAGTTAATGAATAACGTCACCTCTCTGCTCCAGACCCTCAGAGGTCCCATCTCACTCAAAGTGAAAGTCAGAGGCCTTACACTGACCTGGCCCCAACATGACTTCCCTACTCCTCTTCTACTACTGCCCTCTTCTGTACCTGGAATACAGCAAGCATCCGCATCCGCCCTCCACACCTTTGCACTGGGTGCTTCCTCTGTCTGGGATGACCATCTTCCAGCAAACTTTCTCTTGCTCTCTCCTCATCTTTATTCTCAATTAGAACCATTTCAATTGCATTCTTAATCTACTCTCATTGCAATGGTTAATTTTGTGTGGCGACTTGACAGGGTTAAGGGATGCCCAGATAGTTGATGAAACATTATTTCTGCTTGTGTCTATTTCCAGAAGAGAGGAGCATTTGACTCAGCACACTGAGTAAAGAAGATCCCCCCTCACCAAGGTGGGTGGGCATCATGAAATTCATGGAGAGACAAGATGGAGCAAAAAGGTGGAGGAAGGGAAAATGCACTCTCTCTCTTATTCTCCCTCCTTCCCTTCCTCCCTCCCTTCCTCTCTCTCTCACGTAGACACACATACACACACATCTTGAACTGGAGCATCTATCTTCTCCTGCCCTCAGAAATTTTAGTTCTTGGTCTCTGCATCTTCAGGTTCCAGGACTTACACTGGCACAACACTAGCACCCCCTCCAAACACACACCCTGTTCTTAAGACTTTAGACTCAGGGTGGGAGTCACACCAGGGGCTCCCCTCATTATCAGGCCTTCAGACTCAGGGTGGGAATCACACCATGGGCTCCCCTGATTCTCAGGCCTTCAGACTTGGGCTGAATTACACCACCAGCTTTCCTTGTTCTCCAGCTTACAGATGGCATGTCATGGGTCATCATCTTCATAAACGCATGAACTGATTTCTGTAATTAAACTCATATATATTAATTATGTTTTTCTACAGAACCTTGACTATTAAACCCATATAAAATTATATCTTCTACACAAACCCTTTCTTGTCTACATTGCTATGTTTTTCTCTACAGTTCTTGTTGCTATCTAGCAGATTTTAGGTTGTCTTGTTTATTGTCATCCTTTTGCACGACAACATAAGCTCCATGAGGACAGGATTTGATAATTTTTCTTCCATATTCACAGCGCCTAGCAGTAGGTGCTGAAAAGTATTTAATATAGTACGCAGGAAAGGTAGTGTATTCACATCTTACTTGAAGTAGTCATAAAATATTTAATACTTAAGGAAAACCAAAGTGTAATTATGAACTCTTAAAATTGATCCTAAAAATATTGTAATTTATATGTTCCCAGAGGAGGCATTCAGTCAGTGTCAGTATCATTGCACTAAGTGTATAGATGCTCAAGGACATTCTATTGATTGGAGAAATAGGAAAAAGTAATGTATAAATGAATGCTTAGAATTACTCAGACACTGGGAGATTTTCTTTCTTTAGCATTTTGATCTAATTTCAGGAATCTCAGTGGTTAATAATCATTTAAATGTACATATTCTTATGCATTCATTATAAAATCAGTCCTTTTTGTTGATGTATAAACACATGTGTACCAATAAGATACTGAAATATCACCTATTATCCTGACTACAGACAGTGAAATTCTGATATATGAGTAAGTTACTCTCTAAGCCCAAGTTAACTAGTTATTCATGTAGGTTGAGAAGTGCATACTTAATTCATCTCAGATAGGAAGAATTTTTAAAATGATCTAGAAAAATCAGCATGTCTCTGAGAACCTTATTGATGTGCAGAGGGAGTACCTTCATAAGAAACAATATGGTATATATTAAAGAAAATATTATTCTGATACTTGTTAAAAGGATACAAAAGATTTTAATGAGGACTATTACCATAGGTATCAAGACCATTAGAGTAGGGGAGAGAGATGACCTCTGAATACAAAACAGACCTTTAAGGATTTATAGCCAAAGAGCAGAGTGAGAGAATCAGTGGAGAGAAAATTACTGGCTGGGTGCAGTGGCTCATGCCTGTAATCACAGCACTTTGGGAGCCAAAGCGGGCAGATCACTTGAGGCCAGGAGTTCAAGACCAGCCTGGCCAACATTGCAAAACCCCGTCTCTACTAAATATACAAAAATTAGCCAGGCGTGATTGTGCACACCTGTAATCCAGGCTACTTGGGAAGCTGAGGCACAAGAATCACTTGAACCCAGGAGGCTGAGGTTGCAGTGAGCCGAGATAGCACTGCTGCACTACAGCGTGGGTGACACAGTGAAAATCTGTCCCAAAAAAAAAAGAGAAAAGAAAAGAAAAGAAAATTACTAGGAGGTGACAGCTAGGATCCAGGGTAGTGGGATTCTTGCTAAACTGACTTAACAAGATTCTTACCAAAGGTAAGCCAAGTATATATGCACCAAAGGCTGAGAATGAGAAATCTGATGAGTTATCGAGGATGATCGGATATCAAGGATGGGAAGATTCTTGCTAAAGTGGCTTAGCAGGATTCTGGCTAAAATTGCACTAAGCAGGCCTAAGGTAAAACCCAAGAATGAGGCCTAGTCTTAAAGGCAGCTCAGAGGAGCCTGGCTAAGGTCTGGTTAATGAGAGAACCTTTATTATATAAAAGATCATATCAAGAGCCCATCTGAAGTTCATTTGTCTCCAAATATCATAAATAAGACTTGGCCATTATTTAATTCAACAATATGCATCCACTGACCTTGCTGTAGGCACTGTGCTCAATATAGAAGAAATAAATTCAAATATAATGCCATTTTGACCTGGGAACTCCCACTCTAGTGGAGAGACCAAAGTGTAAAATAATCATCACAATGTAATACAGCATGTGCTTTAATAGAGGGTGAAGAACATATTATGAAACACAAGGAAGAAAGGGAATTGATGTTGAACAAAAGAGAAAAATACAGGGGTCATGGAAGTCTTCACAGCAGTCTATTCTTTCGGTTTGGGTCTTGATGGAAAGGTAGGAGTTTACTGATCAGAAAAATAAAATTGAGGAATATCTTTCAAGGAAAAAGCAACAACACTTACATAGGTTCAGAAATACAAAACAAATAAGATAGCTCACTGGGAGATGCAAGAAGAGGCTGGACCCAGCATGGGGTGCCTGAAGAGGAATGGAAATGAGTAAGGCAGGTAGTCACCTGGATCCAGATTGTGATGGACACTGTACTCTAATTGCGTCCCTGGGTTTGGGATGCAATAGGATCCTATAGGAGGAACAGAGGAGTGGAAGTCAGATTTACAGTTTAGAAAGATTTCTCTGACACAAGTGGAAGAGGGAGACTGAAGTATAAACAGACCAAATAAAAAAGACTACTTTGGTGGTTTCTGGACTCTAGGAGAAAAATAATAATGAGGGTTTCAAGGAAGGCAAATGAGGTTGGAAAGGAAGTGACAAATTTAGAGGGGACAGATTTTCATTAGAAATCCAATGTTAATTATAAGGTAAGACTTCTGAGTGCTTATGAAGATAGTGGTAGTATTAATACATATAAAGAGTATAGAAAAATGAAATAAAATAAAAACGTGTCACCTGTGGGGTATATAGAGAGATTTGTTTCGAATATGTTGAATTTAAGGTGCTCAAGTGACCTCCAAGTCTAGATGTCTGGAATGCAGATCTGTGTGTGGGTTTGTGACGCAGGTGGAGGTAGAAGGTGAGACGGGAAATTGCAAATCACTGTAACAGAAACAGGAGTTTGAACCACTAGAGATGGAGAGCGTACACAGGAAGAACACCGTGTGAGAAGACAACAAAAATGGAACCCAGGTGCACTCATGCATAAGAAAAACCACTGTGTGTTCAATTAAAAAGAAAAGGCTTATGTTATATAACCCCAACTGTTCCTAAGCAGGATGAATTATGTTAGTAAGAAAAGCCCTGTTTTGAGAGTACATTGATAGGTTTAGATAAGCAAATATGAGATATGCAAATCTGCTAAATTACTCTGCAAATGAGAACAAGAGAATTGAAGTTCTTTAGAGAAAAATACAGACAAAAGAACCAAAAAGGAAGACTAGATGCTTAGGGAAATCAGAAAGCGAGATTCTGGCAGGAACTTTAGAAAAAATATGTTTCAAAAACATTTGAAATTCTATGTTGTGATTTACACTCTTCCCAAATGAAAACTTCAGTAAGTCCACAGTTCTCTAATATCTTTTTACACCTGTGGATTCACTGGTCTGGGATTGTGTGGAGGGGGTCAGTTCTCTAAGAGCTATTGATTTCCACTTTTGGCTACTTAGTGCAATTAAAAGACAATGTTTATAAGATAAGACAGAGGAGGCCATGAGAGACTAGGCAGCAATAACTGACACACAAAAAAATTGTGAGGAGGACTTCCTACTTCCCCCAGGGGCTAGAAGTTTCCTGTTGACCCATGTGCTACACAGTATAGATATTCATAAATGATATATACCAACAAAACACATACAACACATTTAGCTAGCTAGCTAGCTATGTGATCTTAGGCAAGTTTCCAATATTTACCCATATACAGACTCACTTACATATGCCTCTGTATTCTTATATCAAATTCAAATTCAAAATGATAGCCTCATTGACATGCATAGCATGTCTATATATTTAACCTCCTTTCTATTAATACATTCCCTACCATGTGCATATGCAAATTGTTGCTTCACTGTACATCCCCAAAAATACAGGAACAGTATATGTATTGTTTTTTGTTGCTTGTTATTTTAAGCTACATATTCGCCAGGTGTGGTGGCTCACACCTGTAATCCCAGGACTTTGGGAGGCTGAGGTGGGTGGATTACCTGAGGTCAGGAGTTCGAGACCAGCCTGGCCAACATGGTGAAACCCTGTCTCTACTAAAAATACAAAAATTAGCCAGGAGTGGTGGCACATAATCCCAGCTACTCAGGAGGCTGAGGCAGAATTGCTTGAGCCTGGGAACGGAGGTTGCACTGAGCTGAGATCGTGCCACTGCCCTCCAGCCTGGCCGACAGAGCAAGACTCTGTCTCAAAAAAAAAAAAAAAAAAAAAAGCTACATATTAATCTCTGGTTTTAGAAGAAGATAATTTTTTAATTTTATGAGGTTTTGTGTTAGGCGAATCATGCAAAGCAGATATAAGAAACTTAAAAATATTTCCATAATGCAAAAACATAAATCAGAAGGCTTTTTTAGAAAAATCAATACAGCCAAGCAAACCTTATGTGCATTCTGCAGGCAGCTGCTGTCAAGTTTCCATGTTGCCCTATGGGTCTCAGAGGACGCCCTTATTCTTTCTGCAGATACTGCAGAGATGTGGGTGTGGTTTCCAATACAGAAGCTAACTGTCTATGAATATTCATAAACACACTCTAGCTAAAACCTTCTAAGGGTTTTCTGGGAACAGTTAAAATAGCAACAGTAAATTTTAATCTAACCAGATAAAATAGATAAGGAAGGATGCTGAGTTATTTGAAAATGAATATATAAAGCACCCACTCCCAAAGTCTGTTCAGCACAGAGCCAGTTTCCTCCAAATCAGTCCCCTCTGAGTTATGAGGGCATGTTACTTGAAACAGATTGGTAAGGAACAAGAAGCACAATTCACAGAAGCTACAAAACAATAGGATCCAATGATATGTTAAGACAGTGTCTATAATTGGTTATTTCTGAATCCCTAGGAAAAGTTCCAAAACTCAGCCTCAAACTTTCCTTACATAGTATTGATTTTTTACAAAATTGTGCACTTAAGCATTGTTTTCCCAATCATGAGCTGATCTTTGCGCAACATGTGAAAAATACAAAGTTGTATAAAGAAAGCCAAAATACATTTAATTCCTCAATCCAAAAATTATAAATGCTATAAACATAGAGACAACTATTTTATCTTACATAAAACTCTATGTGCAAATTTATCTGTGTATCTATCTACCATCTATCTAACCTATCTATACATATATACACATACATATCACATAAATCTCTTCATACAAATTTATCCATATATCCATTTATCTATCATCCATCTAACCTATCTATACACATATATACATACACACAATATTTTTAAATGGATATTTTATATATTTAAAGACAGTGGTAGTTTATCTATATACTGTTTGATATCTCTCTTTTCAGGTTATATCAAGGTCACTTTGCTAAATTTTTACAAATGATCTAAAATCCCATATTATGGATATGCTATCATGCATGTAAATAAACTTTAATTGTTGGATATTTAGTAATTTTTATTTTTTGCTATCATAAATAAGAGTATAATAAATATTACTGTACATAAGTCTTTATGGGCATTTCTGTTTATTTCCTATAAATAAATTTCTTGATTAGGATTAGCCTGGTAAACTTCCACAAAATTTTAGAGAATGTATAGAAATTTTTGCTCTTAAACGAATATTGCTTATTTTGCCCTATAGTCACAACTAAGATAATAAGTATTATCACAATAGCAAAAAATACTAATCTGCATTATTGGATTACTAACAAAGGGAACATTCCCATATGATTATTTATTTCTTTTCCTATTATTTGGTAATGATCATATTATATCCTTGATCATGGTCTTTAATAGTGCAAAAAATAATTTTTATAGTATTTATTTCACTCTCTGTTTCTATCATTATCAAATACAGTTTTAGCAAAATGTAAATTTTTGTTAAATGAATTGGAAAGCTTTTGATCTTATTTTCTTTTAACCTGGCATAATTAGTTATGGACATTAAATCTTGGAAATTCAAAATAAAGATAGACCTGGAATTACTAGTTGCGGCAACAGTATTTTTCAGATGTAATTTTTTGGCCAAAAAAAAAAAATCTCATATTTGCATATCCATGATCAATTCCTATCTTCTATTTATTCTTAAATCAAATGAAGTCATAACATTTTCCAGAAATTATGTTTATTCTGTCAAGAATTCAAATGAATTAAAATTTATTAGCAGAGTATTCTACATGTTAGTTATTTAAAATATATTTTTTATTAGTCACATATCGTTTTTATTTATAACATTGTGGGGTTTTTTTCCTCTATCTTTTCTTAAGATAGATAAAAGTTTAGTTAATTAGTACTTTATTTTCTGGGAAGTTATCATTTTAATTTATAAGTGATCTTTGTATTCCCACTTAAAGTTTTTGCCCTGGAACCCTCTAGCTGTAACTAATGTTATTTACACTTTGCTTTAGTATTTTATAAATTTTTCATCCAAAATATTCTCTCCAACAAGTTACTGATAACAAATCCATTTCACCTTATTTTGGAAGAGATTACTGAACAACAGAATTGTTCTTTGCTTTTGTCCAGTTTATAATCAGGCTGTTTATCTTGGTTAAACGTTTTATAAAAACTCATGTTGGGTATTTTATTACATTTTGTTATACCTTTTTTTCTATTTTGCTCTTTGAGCTAAGATTTCTTATTGGATTTTGCTTTTCTCCAATAATTTGGAGAACTTAAAACCATTTCGCATCTTATGTATGATTAACTCAAACTTTTAAAACTATATTGGAAATGTATGTTTCTAATAATAAGTGTTAGAAATGGGAAAATATTAACTGACTTCTATTTTAAAAGATATGGTGGGGTTTTTTTTGTTTTTCTGTTTTGGTTTGTTTTGGTTTTTTGAGACGGAGTCTCGGTCTGTCACCAGGCTGGAGTGCAGTGGCGTGATCTCGGCTCACTGCAACCTCTGCCTCTGGGGTTCAAGTGATTCATCTGCTTCAGCCTCCCGAGTAGCTGGGACTACAGAGACGCACCACCATAAACTTCCTATACTGTTATGCTTCGGGTGCTATTTTCCCAGATATACCTATGATATTTTTAATTAGTTGTTTGTTTGACTTTCTTTTTGTCACTAGGTTTTAGTTTCCTAAACTTAACTGATTATCAAAATCACATTGGGCTTTGGTTGCAATTCTGAATTTTTTGGTTCCATCCAAACCTACCTAATCATACTCTCTAGGAATAGGCCTGGGAATTAATATTTTCAGCATGTACTTGAGGTGTGCCTTTGAGCTTGTTTAAAAGGTGTGTTTACATTCAACATTTTTTAGAGTTCGCATTCAACTTTTTTTTTTTTTAACCCAGGGGATCTGATTGATCTGCAAACTAGAGTATCATTCAAGAGTCTTTTCTGTTATCTGTATATATATATTATTACTGTTCCATTTGTGGGGTTTTTTTTTCCTTTTTTATTAAGAATGCCAATTATGTGTAGATTATCTCCAGTTTTTATATGAAAACTTTCACCCTTTAGCCATTTGAATGTTTTTGCTTTTAATGGTGTGAGTTTTTGTCTATCATGATTCCATTTAGTAATTTGGATTTCTGCCATTATGATATGTTCCCCTCAATATGATGCAGATTTTAATTCTTATCTCCTTCTGTTCTTGTTGATTTACAAATTTTTAAAAATAATTTTATGTCAATTTTACTGAGAAATGTTTTTATTTTATCTTGCTTTATTATATGTCCTGTTTGCTATGGTTATTCAATCTCAAAAATGTGTTCTTTCCTTAAGGGCACAGAATTGTTGTAGAGTCATTCAACTCTGTGTTTTGTTTGTTTTGATTTGACTGGGCTTTGTTTTTTCACTCCCAAGTGAGAGCGAGTAAAGGTCTACCCAAATGTTTTTCTCTCTAACCGGTGGTTGAGACCTCCTGGGTTTTTCTCTTAATTTACCTGACTGCTGCTTAACTCTTTTTATTTTTAATTTAGGGCCTCCTAACGCAGTGTTTTTCTTACTAACATGCTTATAAATCACTAGAAATCTTCTTTAAAAAACAGATTCTGACTGAGAGCAGTGGGTGGAGCCTGAGAGTCTTCATTTCCAATCAGCTCTCAGATATTACTGATGCTGTAGCCCTAAGACCCACACTTTCAGTAACAACGTCAGTAACAAGACAGATAGTAACTATCTCTTAGTGCTTTGGATTTATAGATATGAAATGGAATCAACTGATAAGGTTTCAGTCTTCTGTGAAAACTTCCATTAACTGTTAACACTTGCTTCTCCAATTTGGGGGCATGTAAGGGATACAGGTTGTATGTAAGCTGTTTTGTTTTTTAATTTTTTTATTTCCATAGGTTTTGGGGGAACAGGTGGTGTTTGCTTACATGAGTAAGTTCTTTAGTGGTGATTTGTGAGATTTTGGTGCATCTATCACCCAAGCAGCACACACTGAACTCAATTTGTTGTCTTTTATCTCTCATCCCCTTCCCACACTTTCCTCCTGAATCCTCAAAGTCCATTGTATCCTTATACTTTTGCATCCTCATAGTTTAGCTCCCACTTATACTGAGAATATATGATGTTTGGTTTTCCATTCCTGAGTTACTTCACTTAGTATAATAGTCTCCAATTTCATCCAGGTTGCTGTGAATGCCATTAATTCATTCCTTTTTATGGCTGAGTAGTATTCTATTGTGTGTGTGCATATATATACACCCCACATTGTCTTTATCCCCTCATTGAATGGTGGGCATTTGGGCTGGTTCCATATTGTTGAAATCACAAATTGTGTTGCAATAAACATGTGTGTGCAAGTATCTTTTTCATATAATGACTACATTCCCTCTCTGCCATCCTCTCTTCCCACTTGTAGGTGCTACATGAGCACAGTGGCCTCATGGTGACTTTGAGCCTACAAGTGTGTACAGTGTCACACCTATGATCTGCCTCAGCCACAGGCTTTCATTGCTCCAGAAAAGATAGTGAGGGTGAAGTCTACTGTGGTCTCCTCTGTATGTTTCCTGTAACAGAACATTCTCAAGTGAATAGTGCATGCCAGCCCTGTCTTCCTTGAAACCCAAGTACTTTTGTACTCTATCCTGCAGATTTCTTAACTTTTAAGGACTATGGATCACTCCTATCTCTTGTCAAAGCATTGATGAAGATTTTTCCTCATTATATTTTGTGTTGCTCATTTCATTAAGGTACTGTGAGGAGGGTGGAAAAAATAGGGAGAGAGCCATTTAGAGAAATACATGAAGTTTTCTGCTCATGTTGCCATCTCATTCAGAAGTCTTACAAACTCCTGTTTATATTATTTGTATGTTTTTGTGTGTTTTCTGTTTCCCACATAAAAATAACCCTATTAACTTTATGGTTATATAAGTAATACTTCTTTATTGTATGTTTTTCAGATAGTACAAAAATGTATCATGACAAAAAGGAACTAAAATTGCCCTTGCTATGGTCTACGTCTGTGTCCCTCTAAAAGTCATATTGAAACAATCTCCAAGGCAACAGTATTAAGAGATGGGACCTTTAGGAGCCGATTAATTAATGAGAAAGAAGCTCTCATGGATGGGGAGCAGGCCCTTATAAAAAGCCTTGAGGACATGGGTTCCCCTTTTCTTCTTTTCTGCCATGTGAAGACACATACACCCTGTTTTGCCCTTCCACCTTCAGCCTGCACATGAAGCACTAAGCTAAATATATTATATGCCTTATCCCATCTTAACCTCACCATAGCCCTATGAGGTAGGAACTTCATTATTTCCGTTTTGCAAAGGAGGGAACTGAGGTGCAAAAAGCACAGTGGATTGGCCAAGGTCATCGAGCATGGTAACTGGGCAAAGGCCAAGGAATGAAAGGCCGTATGTTCAAAGTCAGACGGAATTTCCTCCTGAAAGCCATGAGGAGATGCAGAAGGATTTTTACAAGACAGTGACATGATCTTATCTGAATTGTATAAAGCTAGACCTGGAGTTGGGGACTGGGGAAGAAACGTGGAGCCATGGGCAGAGGAAAGCAAAACAGAGTCATTTAGAAAGCTTTAGGTGAGATCTGAGGGTGAATAATGAATAAGAACGTGTGCATCTGGTGAGAAAGGAATTGATTTGAGAGAGAAGAGCAAACTATAGTGGACCATCAAATGGCAATTCAAGAGTTAAAGTACTGAACCAAAACAGATATTAAAGATGCTTTATTATTACATATTCCCCCAAAGGATGATGGGAATCTGCACAATTTACAGAATTTACACTATGATAAATATGGACTTGACAATCCGGAAAATCTGATTAGTGATTAATAGCCCAAGTTATTTTAAACTCATGGGTCATGATCATTCAGAAAGGAGAAAATTGCCTCTCTTGTTGCCTTCCACTTTAATTCCAACTAGGAAGAATCGTTTAGCAGCCTTTGTTATGCAGCTTATAAATATCTTTTGAAAAACAGGACAGCATCAAAGCAGTATCATTCTGACACTGCATGACATCACATTCAGCTGGTACCAAACAGGACAGACAGAGTCCTACAGTCCCAAACCAGGACCCAGAGTTTCCAGGGATGAAGATCCACTTTCTGTCTTCACTTCTTGGCTCATGCCTTTAAGAGGGTGGGCAGGGGGAAGATTACAAATAAACATCACTTGGTTATCAGCTCCAGAACAAGTTTCCCTCAATTTCTCTCTTATATGTCCATGAAAATTGGTCAAGGACAATTCGCTAGTATCATGGTTTTCCTCCTAAAAGGACAATAAAAGCAGTAGCTACTTACAATTTTCTGGGGAAAATAGGACCAGAGGAGTGTGAGAACAATAGCCCAGTTTGCCTGTCTCTAGGATACTTTTCCCTACACACACAAAATGAGCAACACTGTAGGGGTTCAGGCCATGAAATAGAATGATTCAGTATTTTGCACAAAGGCCACTTGGAAATTAAGTTCCTGCTAAGTCCTGTTCTTTTTAATTATAACCTGTAAAAAAATTATTCCACGTGTTAAATTTTCATAAATCATGTCGAAAATAAGGCTTCATGTTTGGGAGCCTGGATGACATTTTAAGAAATACAAACTAAGCCTATTCCAAGGTAGGAAAAGTGATCAGAATTGATGCAGATTGCCTTGGCACATTTCCTAAGTCTAAAAAAAAGGAAGAAGTTATGAATTTATAATATATATAAAAACGACATCCTGTAGAGTTTTTAATTTTATATATTTTATTGATTTTTAGAGATGGGGTCTCACTATGTTGTCCAGGTTGGCCTCAAAATCCTGGGCTCTAGTGATCCTCCCACCACAACCTCTCAAGTACCTGGGACTACAGATGTGCACCACCTCACTCAGCTAGGGTGTTTTTTGTTTATTTCTTTTTGTTTTTGTTTTCTTTAGCACACACACCTAAATGTGCACAGATTGTAAGTGGACAAGTAATGTATATTTAGTGTTCACATCCATATAACCAGTGACCAGTTTCAAGAATCAGAACTTGGCTAACAGTATAGAAGCTTGCACTTACCCATTTCCAGTCATTATTTTTCTCTTGAAAACGGTATTAGGGAATGAATGCTTTTCTCCCGTCCTCAAATTTATATGTTGAAACCCTAACCTGCAATGTGATGGTATTTGGATACAATACTAATATTTAGTAGATGAGGCCCTTATGATGGAATTGATACTGTGATAAGAAGAAACAAAAGAGTACTTGCTGTCTTTCCCTCCACATACAGAGCAAGAAGAGGTTATGAGAGTACACAGCAAGATGGACAGCCACCTGCAAGCCAAGAGGCCTCAGAATGAAATCTGCCTTGCTGGCACCTCGATCCTGGACTTCTCAGCCTCCAGAACTGTGAAAAATAAAGTTCTGCTGCTGAAACCACTCACTCTGGACAGCCCAAGCCAATAAAGACCAATGGTAGCTACTTCTCTGAATTCTAACATTACAGATTACTTTTCCTTGGTTTAGAATTCTTTTTTTATTATGCTTTAAGTTTTAGGGTACATGTGCACAACGTGCAGGTTAGTTACATATGTATACATGTGCCATGTTGGTGTACTGCACCCATTAACTCATCATTTAACATTAGGTATATCTCCTAATGCTATCCCTCCCCGCTCCCACACAGGCCCCGGTGTGTGATGTTCCTCTTCTTGTGTCCATGTGTTCTCATTGTTCAATTCCCACCTATGAGTGAGAACATGCAATGTTTGGTTTTTTGTCCTTGCGATAGTTTGCTGAGAATGATGGTTTCCAGCTTCATCCATGTCCCTACAAAGGACATAAACTCATCATTTTTTATGGCTGCATAGTATTCCACGGTGTATATGTGCCACATTTTCTTAATCCAGTCTATCGATGTTGGACATTGGCTTGGTTCCAAGTCTTTGCTATTGTGAATAGTGCCACAATAAACATACGTGTGCATGTGTCTTTATAGCAGCATGATTTATAATCCTTTGGGTATATACCCAGTAATGGGATTGCTGGGTCAAATGGTATTTCTATAAGTCGACTTACACTGTGTGCATTCATTAGGTTTGGTTTATATAAACATAATGAGAAATTCATTCATATTTACCAGAATAAGGAAATGCTTTTTCTTTTTCCTTGTTTCTTGAGAATTTATTTTCCTTGTTTGTTGTTGCTGTCTCTTTGGCTTGTTATTGTTGTTGTTTTATTGTGAATAGTATTGACATTACTCAAATGTTCATCTCCAGATGAAAAAAAAATATCATTTGATCCCCACTGCTCACAAACATTTTTCTGCTAATATGAAAGAAAACATTGGTTGATTTTCAAATATTAGGTTACTCTTATATTCCTGGAATAAGACTAGTTTATTCAAGATGTATTCTTTTTTAAAATATATTTTGCTGGATTCACTGAGCTAAAATTTTATTAGAATTACTGCATCTATATCCCTGAGGACTAATGGTTTATAATGTCCTTATCAAGTTTGGGATGACGGTTATATTGGCCTCAAAAAAGAGTCGGGGAGTATTCTCTATGTTTCTATACTTTGAAAGAATTTTTTAATATTGGTATTATTCTTTTCCTTAAGTATTGAAAGAATACTGGCAAAGTTATATGAGTATGTTTTCGTTAACTGTTATTTTGTGTCTATGGAAGGTATTTAGCAACAGATTCAATTTCTTTACTAAATATTAGGCTAGAGATTGTTTTCCTATTACTTTCAGTTTATGTTAGTTTTTTCTTAAGCAATTTACCTGTTTCATCCAAATTGTCAACTTTACCGGCAAAAAGTTGTTTCTAACATCCTGTTACCACTTTAAATGTGTATAGGAAATATGGTAATACTCATTCTTGCTATTGGTAACTTACGTTTCCTCTCTCTTCTTTGTTTTTTCCTTTTCTTTCTTCCATACTTTCTTCCTTTCTTCCTTTTTACCCTTTCTTCCTTTTTGTTAATCGCCCTTTCTAGGTATTTATCAATGTTATTAATTTTTAAAAGAGTCAATTTATAACTTTGTTGCTTACTATTGTACTCTAATTTTATTTATTTCTGCTTTTAACTTTACTATTTTTCTTCTATTTTATTTAGTTTAGCTTTGTGAGTACTTTGCTTTCTTTCCTTCCTAATATAGATATGTAACACTAAAAATTTGCCTCTGAGCCTTAGTTGAGTTCCACAATTTGCTTTTTTAAAAAGGTTATATCTTTGCTGAAATTGAATTCAAAATATTCTATAATTTTGGTTGTAACTTCTTTGGTTCACAAATTACTATGGAATGCATTGTTAAATTTCTAAGTTTGGAGATTTTATTTATTTTTCAATTTTTTCTTTCTTTCTTTTTGACAGTTTCCCTCTGTCACCCAGGCTGGAGTATAATGGCACAATCTTGACTCACTGTAGCCTCCGCCTCCTGGGCTCAAGCAATTCTCATGCCTCAGCCTCCTGAGTAGCTGGGATTATGGACATTCACCGCCATACACAGCTAATTTTTGTATTTTTGGTAGAGACAGGGTTTCGCCATGTTGGCCAGGCTGGTCTCAAACCCCTGGCCTCAAGTGATCAACCCACCTCGGCCTTCCAATGTGCTGGGATTACACGCATGAGCCACTGTGCCTGGCCCAATTTTTATTTTATTTTATTTTTTTTTAGACACAGCCTGTCACCCAGGCTGGAGTGCAGTGTTATAATTATGGCTCACTGCAGCCTCAGTCTCCTGTGCTCAAGCAATCCTCCCACCTCAGCCTCACAAAGTCAAAGGATTTTAAGTTATTTTTAATTATATATTTCTAGCTTGATTTCCCTGAAGATCAGACCTCATCCTCTGAATATTAATCCTTTGATATTTGTTAAAGCTTTCTTGATGGTTCAGCACATGATGGTTTTAGTAAATGTTTTATGTGTACTTGAAAATAATGTGAATTTTGAATCAGTAGGATTTCTATACACCCATATCTCCCAAGCTGACAGCAAAACCAAGAACACAACCCCATTCATAATAGCCACAAAAAGAACAAAATACCTAGGAACTCAGCTAACCAGAAAGGTGAAATATCTCCACAATGAGAAATACAAAACATTGTTGAAAGAAATCAGAGGTGACACCAACAAATTGGAAAAACATTTCACACTCCTGGAGAGGAAGAATCAATATTGTTATAATAGCTATACTATCCAAAGCAACTTACAGACTCAATGCTATTCCTATCAAAATATCCTTTTTGAGAATCAAATATTCAAAAATTTATGTGGAACCGAAAAAGAACCTGAATAGCCAAAGCAATCCTAAGCATAAACAACAAAGCTGGAGGCATCACACTACCCAACTTCAATGTATCCTTCAAGGCTACAGTTACCAAAACAGCATGATACTGGCACAAAAACAGACACATAAACCAATTGATACAATCAAAGAATACAAGAAATTAAGTGGCACACCTACAACCATCTGATCTTCAACAAAGTCGACAATGAGGAAAAGACCCCCTATTCAATATATAGTGCTGCGATATCTGGCTAGCCATATGCAGAAGATAGAAAATGGGACCCTTCTTTCATCATATAAAAAATTAACTCAAGGTGTTTTAAGGATTTAAATGTAAACTATAAAAACAGTAGGAGAAAACCTGGGTCATACTTTCTGAACATAGGCCTTGGTATATAGTTCATTAACTCTCCAAAAGCAACAACAACGAAAAACCTCTGTAGGCTCCACCTCTGGGGGCAGGGCACAGACAAACAAAAAGACAGAAGTAACCTCTGCAGACTTAAATGTCCCTGTCTGACAACTTTGAAGAGAGCAGTGGTTCTCCCAGCATGCAGCTGGAGATCTGAGAACAGGCAGACTGCCTCCTCAAGTGGGTCCCTGACCCCTGACCCCCGAGTAGCCTAACTGGGAGGCACCCTCCAGTAGGGGCAGACTGACATCTCACATGGCCGGGTACTCCTCTGAGACAAAACTTCCAGAGGAATGATCAGACAGCAGCATTCACGGTTCACGAAAATCCACTGTTCTGCAGTCACCGCTGCTGATACCCAGGCAAACAGGGTCTGGAGTGGACCTCTAGCAAACTCCAACAGACCTGCAGCTGAGGGTCCTGTCTGTTAGAAGGAAAACTAACAAACAGAAAGGACATCCACACCAAAAACCCACCTGTACATTACCATCATCAAAGACCAAAAGTAGATAAAACCACAAAGATAGGGAAAAAACAGAGCAGAAAAACTGGAAACTCTAAAAAGCAGAGCACCTCTCCTCCTCCAAAGGAATGCAGTTCCTCACCAGCAACGGAACAAAGCTGGACAGAGAATGACTTTGACGAGTTGAGAGAAGAAGGCTTCAGACGATCAAACTACTCCGAGCTACAGGAGGAAATTCAAACCAAAGGCAAAGAAGTTAAAACTTTGAAAAAAATTTAGACGAATGTGTAACTAGAATAACCAATACAGAGAAGTGCTTAAAGGAGCTGATGGAGCTGAAAGCCAAGGCTCGAGAACTACGTGAAGAATGCAGAAGCCTCAGGAGCCGATGCGATCAACTGGAAGAAAGGGTATCAGTGATGGAAGATGAAATGAATGAAATGAAGCGAGAAGGGAAGTTTAGAGAAAAAAGAATAACAAGAAACGAACAAAGCCTCCAAGAAATATGGGTCTATGTGAAAAGACCAAATCTACATCTGATTGGTGTACCTGAAAGTGACGGACAGAATGGAACCAAGTTGGAAAACATTCTGCAGGATATTATCCAGGAGAACTTCCCCAATCTAGCAAGGCAGGCCAACATTCAGATTCAGGAAATACAGAGAATGCCACAAAGATACTCCTCGAGAAGAGCAACTCCAAGACACATAATTGTCAGATTCACCAAAGTTGAAATGAAGGAAAAAATGTTAAGGGCAGCCAGAGAGAAAGGTCGGGTTACCCTCAAAGGGAAGCCCATCAGACTAACAGCAGATCTCTCGGCAGAAACTCTACAAGCCAGAAGAGAGTGGGGGCCAATATTCAACATTCTTAAAGAAAAGAATTTTCAACCCAGAATTTCATATCCAGCCAAACTAAGCTTCATAAGTGAAGGAGAAATAAAATACTTTACAGACAAGCAAAGGCTGAGAGATTTTGTCACCACCAGGCCTGCCCTACAAGAGCTCCTGAAGGAAACACTAAACATGGAAAGGAACAAGTGGTACCAGCCACTGCAAAATCGTGCCAAATTGTAAAGACCATCAAGGCTAGGAAGAAACTGCATCAACTAACGAGCAAAATAACCAGCTAACATCATAATGACAGGATCAAATTCATACATAACAATATTAACTTTAAATGTAAATGGACTAAATGCTCCAATTAAAAGACACGGACTGGCAAATTGTATGAAGAATCAGGACCCAACAGTGTGCTGTATTCAGGAAACCCATCTCACGTGCAGAGACACACATAGCCTCAAAATAAAAGGATGGAGGAAGATCTACCAAGCAAATGGAAAACAAAAAAAGGCAGGGGTTGCAATCCTAGTCTCTGATAAAACAGACTTTAAACCAACAAAGATCAAAAGAGACAAAGAAGGCCATTACATAATGGTAAAGGGATCAATTCAACAAGAAGAGCTAACTATCCTAAATATATATGCACCCAATACAGGAGCATCCAGATTCATAAAGCAAGCCCTGAGTGACCTACAAAGAGACTTAGACTCCCACACAATAATAATGGGAGACTTTAACACCCCACTGTCAACATTAGACAGATCAATGAGACAGAAAGTTAACAAGGATACCCAGGAATTGAACTCAGCTCTGCACCAAGCAGACCTAATAGACATCTACAGAACTCTCCACCCCAAATCAACAGAATATACTTTTTTTTTCAGCACCACACCGCACCTATTCCAAAACTGACCACATAGTTGGAAGTAAAGCTCTCCTCAGCAAATGTAAAAGAACAGAAATTATAACAAACTGTCTCTCAGACCACAGTGCAATCAAACTAGAACTCAGGATTAAGAAACTCACTCAAAACCGCTCAACTACATGGAAACTGAACAACCTGCTCCTGAATGACTACTGGGTACATAACGAAATGAAGGCAGAAATAAAGATGTTCTTTGAAACCAACGGGAACAAAGACACAACATACCAGAATCTCTGGGACACATTCAAAGCAGTGTGTGGAGGGAAATTTATAGCACTAAATGCCCACAAGAGAAAGCAAGAAAGATCCAAAATTGACACCCTAACATCACAATTAAAAGAACTAGAAAAGCAAGAGCAAACACATTCAAAAGCTAGCAGAAGACAAGAAATAACTAAAACAAGAGCAGAACTGAAGGAAATAGAGACACAAAAAACCCTTCAAAAAATTAATGAATCCAGGAGCTGGTTTTTTGAAAGGATCAACTAAATTGATAGACTGCTAGCAAGACTAATAAAGAAGAAAAGAGAGAAGAATCAAATAGACACAATAAAAAATGATAAAGGGGATATCACCACTGATCCCACAGAAATACAAACTACCATCAGAGAATACTACAAACACCTCTATGCAAATAAACTAGAAAATCTAGAAGAAATGGATAAATTCCTCGACACATACACCCTCCCAAGACTAAACCAGGAAGAAGTTGAATCTCTGAATAGACCAATAATAGGCTCTGAAATTGTGGCAATAATCAATAGCTTACCAACCAAAAAGAGTCCAGGACCAGATGGATTCACAGCCGAATTCTACCAGAGGTACAAGGAGGAACTGCTACCATTCCTTCTGAAACTATTCCAATCAATAGAAAAAGAGGGAATCCTCCCTCACTCATTTTATGAGGCCAGCATCATCCTGATACTGGAGCCCGCATCACCAAGTCAATCCTAAGCCAAAAGAACAAAGCTGGAGGCATCACGCTACCTGACTTCAAACTATACTACAAGGCTACAGTAAACAAAACAGCATGGTACTCATACCAAAACAGAGATATAGATCAATGGAACAGAACAGAGCCCTCAGAAATAACGCTGCATATATACAACTACCTGATCTTTGACAAACCTGAGAAAGACAAGCAACGGGGAAAGGATTCCCTATTTAATAAATGGTGCTGGGAAAACTGGCTAGCCATATGTAGAAAGCTGAAACTGGATCCCTTCCTTACACCTTATACAAAAATTAATTCAAGATGGATTAAAGACTTAAACATTAGACCTAAAACCACAAAAACCCTAGAAGAAAACCTAGGCATTACCATTCAGGACATAGGCATGGGCAAGGACTTCATGTCTAAAACACCGAAAGCAATGGCAACAAAAGACAAAATTGACAAATGGGATCTAATTAAACTAAAGAGTTTCTGCACAGCAAAAGAAACCACCATCAGAGTGAACAGGCAACCCACAAAATGGGAGAAAATTTTCGCAACCTACTCATCTGACAAAGGGCTAATATCTGGAATCTACAAGGAACGCAAACAAATTTACAAGAAAAAAACAAACAACCCCATCAAAAAGTGGGCGAAGGACATGAACAGACACTTCTCAAAAGAAGACATTTATGCAGCCAAAAAACACATGAAAAAATGCTCACCATCACTGGCCATCAGAGAAATGCAAATCAAAACCACAATGAGATACCATCTCACACCAGTTAGAATGGCAATCATTAAAAAGTCAGGAAACAACAGGTGCTGGAGAGGATGTGGAGAAATAGGAACACTTTTACACTGTTGGTGGGACTGTAAACTAGTTCAACCATGGTGGAAGTCAGTGTGGTGATTCCTCAGGGATCTAGAACTAGAAATACTATTTGACCCAGCCATCCCATTACTGGGTATATACCCAAAGGATTATAAATCATGCTGCTATAAAGACACATGCACATATATGTTTATTGCGGCTCTATTCACAATAGCAAAGACTTGGAACCAAGCCAAGTGTCCAACAACGATAAACTGGATTAAGAAAATATGGCACATATACACCATGGAATACTATGCAGCCATAAAAAATGATAAGTTCATGTCCTTTATAGGGACATGGATGAAATTGGAAATCATCATTCTTAGTAAACTATCGCAAGGACAAAAAACCAAACACCGCATGTTCTCACTCATAGGTGGGAATTGAACAATGAGAACACATGGACACAGGAAGGGGAACATCACACTCTGGGGACTGTTGTGGGGTGGGGGGAGGGGGAGGGATAGCATTAGGAGATATACCTAATGCTAAATGACGAGTTAATGGGTGCAGCACACCAGCATGGCACATGTATACATATGTATCTAACCTACACATTGTGCACATGTACCCTAAAACTTAAAGTATAATAATAAAAAAAAAAAAACATGTAGCCACGAAACAAAACAAAACAAAAGTTGCCACAAAAACAAAAATAGAAAGGTGAGATCTAATTAAACTAAGAGCTTCTGCACATCTAAAGAAACTGTCAAAAGAGTAAACAAACAGCATACAGAGTGGGAGAAAATATTTGCAAAGTATGCATCCAACAAAGGTCTAATATCCAGAATTTATAAAGAACTTAAACAAATAAACAAGCAAAAAGCAAACAACCCCTTTCAAAAAATGGGCAAAAAACATAAATGATGCTTTTCAAAAGAAGACATACACGTGGCCAACAAACACGTGAAAGAATGCTCAACATCACTAACCATTAGAGAAATGCAAGTCAAAACTACAATGAGATACCATCTCATACCAGTCAGAATGGCTATCATTAAAATGTTAGAAAATAAGATGTTGACAAGGTTATACATAAAAGGAAACACTTACATGCTGCTAGTGGGAATGTAAATTATTTTAGCCACTATTGAAAGCAGTTTGGAGATTTCTCAAGGAATTTAAAATAGAACTACCATTTGACCCAGCAATCCCATTACTGGCTACATACTCAAAGAAATAATGTCATTCTACTAAAAAGATACATGCATGCATATGTTCATCACAGCACTATTCATAGAAGCAAATACACGGAATCAATCTAGATGTTTATCTATGGTCGACTGGATAAAGAAAATGTAGTACATATACATGACAGAATACTATGCAGCCATAAAAAAGAATGAAATCATGTCCTTTGCAGCAACATGGATGCAGCTGGAGGCCATTATCCTAAGTGAATTAATGCAGAAACAACAACAAAAAAGAAATGCCACGTTTTCACTTGTAAGTGAGAGCTAAACATTGAGTATACATGTACACAAAGAGGGGAACAATAGATACCAGGGCATACTTGAGGGTAGAGGGTGGAAGGAGGGTGAGGGTTGAAAAATTGACTATTGGGTACTATGCTCATTATCTGGATAACAAAATCATTTGTAAACTAAGCCCCTGTGACATGTAATTTACTCATGTAACAAACCTGCACATGTACCTCTGAACCTAAAATAAAAATTGAAAAACAAAAATGAAAAGAATGTGAATTCTATTGTGATTTTTATGGGGTATTCTTCATGTTAAATACCTAGTGTTCCATTATTGGAATGCTAAGCTTGTGGAAGTTATTTATATCCTACTGCTCAAGGTCATCGCCCAGGTCTGATTGCAAAAATTCAAAAAATTGCAACCTCAGGCATAAATGGATAAATCAGATCAAGTTTACTGAATGTGTTGTTAATTTCTGCTATATTCTCACTGAGTTTTGTCTACTTGTTCTATAAGCTATAGATGTTTGTTAAGATCTGTCTATCAGTTTGATTTGTCTATTTCTCCTTTAAATTATGTTAATATTTTTTGCTTTACATATCATAAAGATGCACCATTGAAGGCATACAAATTTAAAATATTGATATTGTTTTGACAGATTTACCCAGTTATTATTATGAAATATACCCCTTTATTTT
Source organism: Homo sapiens (assembly GCF_000001405.40). NCBI lineage: Eukaryota > Metazoa > Chordata > Mammalia > Primates > Hominidae > Homo > Homo sapiens. The sequence goes on from NC_000008.11 coordinate 24,565,372, forward strand.
TAGTAAGATTTCTTACCTTAAAGCCTATTTTGTTTGATATTAGCAAAGCTACTAGAGTTTTCTTTTATTACATATTTGCATGGAATATAGTTATTTTAATCCATTTATTATCTCTATGTTTAAAGTGTTTAAATATAAATGCTTAATCCATTAATACTCAATTTAATTACTTATTTAGTTCTGCTTCTATCTACCACTTTACTGCTTGTTCTCTATTTGACCCAATTTTAATTTTTTCTCATTTTATATTTTATATTATTTAAATGTTATTTTCACTATTCCATTTTGCTCTTATTAACTTCTTAGTTATTTTCTGTTTCATTCTTTTTCAGTGGTTACTACTGCTATGGTATCATAGCAGGCATTTTTGAGTGAGTATAATGCAGTATAAATATTACTTTTATCACCTCCTAATAATTCTGGAATTTACAATACTTTAACTAAAATTACCCCTTATGCATTTCATGTTACATTTATCACACATTTTAATTCCATATATTATATATATTTTTAAATGATAAGTTCTAGGGTGCATGTACACAACGTGCAGTTTTGTTACATAGGTATACATGTGCCATGTTGGTTTGCTTCATCCATTAACTCATCATTTACATTAGGTATTTTTCCTAATGCTATCCCTCACCCTGCCCCCTACCCCATGACAGGCCCCAGGGTGTGATGTTCCCTGCCCTGTGTCCAAGTGTTTTCATTGTTCAATTCCCACCTATGAGTGAGAACATGCGGTGTTTGGTTTTCTGTTCCTGTGTTAGTTTGCTGAGAATGATGATTTCCAGCTTCATCTATGTCCCTGCAAAGGACATGAACTCATCCTTTTGTATGGCTGCATAGTATTCCATGGTGTATACGTGCCACATTTTCTTTATCCAGTCTATCATTGATGAACATTTGGGTTGGTTCCAAGTCTTTGCTATTGTGAACATTGCTGCAGTAAACATATGTGTGCATGTGTCTTTATAGTAGCATGATTTATAACTCTTTGGGTATATACCTAGTAATTGGATCGCTGGATCAAATGGTATTTCTAGTTCTAGATCCTCACAGACATTAGGAGTTTTCTTTTCTGCAGTCAATTTCCTCACATTTATTCACATATATACTCTAACAGGCTTCTCATTCTTTCCTGCTTTTCCATATTTCCATTGAAATCATTAATTATTCCTGTAGACCTCTCTTGTATTTTGTTTAATGTAGGTCTGCTGGTGACAAATTTACTTGGTTTTATTCTGAATATGTCTTTACTTTCACCTTCATCTTTGAAGGATATATTTGCTGGGTGTAAAATTCTAGGTTGGCAGTTATTCGTGTTTCAGCGCTCTTAAGATACCATTGTATTTTTTTCTTACTTCTTTCACAGAAAAATCAACTGTCAGTTGATCCTTTAAAGTTAATGTGCTGTTTTTTCCTATGACTACTTTTAAGATTTTCTCTTTCTCTTTGTTTTTTTAACAATTTGACTATCATGTTCCTATTGTTTAATGCATATTTGCCAACCTGGGTTTCCCTAAGTTATCTGAAGCCATAGGCTGATGTTTTTTCATAAATTTTGAAGTTTTTTCAACAATCGTTTCCTTAAAAACTATTTGCTTTCCATTTTCTCTTCTTTCCCACCCAAAAACCAAGTACACGTTACACTTTTTGAGCATGACTCATATGTCTCTTATACTGTGCTCTATTTTTTCAATTCATATTCCTCTCTGCATTTTGGGTATTTTCTATCAGCTGTTCCTCTTGGTCATCACTCTGTCTTCTGGTATATTTAATTTGCTGTTAAACTCATCCATTCACAAATTCTATTGTTCAGTTTAAGAACATCCACTTGATTTTCTATACAGATTCCAATTCTGTGTTGAAATTCTGCACTCTTTCCATTTTTCTCTGTTCATTTTTTGAACATCCTGATCAGTTAAAGAACTTGTGTGCTAACTTTGATATATGGATTCCTTGTTGGATTGTTTCTATGGTCAATTTCATCTTAGAGTTCGGTCCTATGATCCTATCTCCTCACATATCTAGGAATTTTTTATTGAATGACACGTAAAGGGTTAAAAAAATATAGATACTTTAAATGGTTTTGTCTTCCACAAGAGAGGATTCCCCTTTATTCTGTTAAATGGTTAAAAGGAGACTGATTATTTCAAAGCCATCTGTTTGAGGACCTTCACACCTCTAAATCTGTCCCTGAAACCCTTCATGACTGCTAAGACTGCCTCTGGTTCACAGCCTGGGCTGCACTTCGAGTCTCAGTTTCAACTCCATGGACAGTATCAGATAATGTCCACAAAGAATACTCCAGATAACACCGTGTTGCAGTTTGTTAAGATGCAGCCAACTTCTTTTTTATAGCTGTTCCTAGGATACAGCCCTTCAGGGATTTCAGTTGCAATCATTGTGAGTTTTTGTCTCCTCAGCAATGAGAAGCTGCAGGAATCTCTGCTCTGATTTTCACAAGGTTTTCAGCTTAGTGCTTTAGTCTCCCATCCCACATATTAGAATTTGACAATGGTCTTGAGGAGGAGACCAGCTGTGTTTAAAGGCCTTCAACTTTCCAATTTTATCACTCAAGTTCTGAGCAAATGTCAAACATCCCTCTGGCTTCTTTGTCTACAGCAATGGTCGGCTTCTAGAGGTCAAGCTTGGATTTTAAGATTGTAGCTATATCCAGATATTCAAGTACCTCTATGAACAAAGAAACAGGAGTTTTGTATCCATGTCAGTTTACCATCATGGGGGGAGGGGGGTATTTTAGCTCTCCTCTCTTATTTTTAGTATGTGTGTACTGTCCCTAGTACATATTTGTTTGCTGAGTAACGAGACTGAAAAATTCCACTCAGCGTTTCTGAGATCTGGGCTTAATTCTTTAGCCTCCTCTCCCATGCAGATTTGGAGTGAAGCAAATGTATTAAAAGGAAAACTAGCCATCTGTTTGAGGACTTTCACACCTCTAAATCTGTCCCTGAAACCCTTCATGACTGCTAAGATTACCTCTGGTTCACAGTCTGGGCTGCACTTCGATTCTCAGTTTCAGCCCCGTGGACAGAATCAGATAATGTCCACAAAGAACTGAAAGTCTTAATTTCACCTTCTAAAAGTGTTTCTCTGCCTAGAACATTACTCTGTAGTCCTCATAGTTCTGTGGTTCTCTCACATTATTATAGCTATAAAAATTGTATCTTATCTGACTTGTCTAGTTTGTCTCAGTGGGAACACTGGTCTGCTACGAAATTCTCCATCCCATCCCTAAGAAGTCCTGACTTGGCTTTTTCGATAAATAAAATAAATGTCATTCTTCATTTTTTTACTTCTACATGGAGTTTGCTTTCAGATCTTCTGAACTCATATCCAATGGCTCTTACTCACAACCTCTTTACACATAGATGAATACTGACAAAATAATTTTATTTCAAAGTAACCACAAACCGTAAGTCATGTCATCTTTTTCAAAAGTTGCTGGGTGTTTTTATTCTACAACCGAAAGAAAAAAAGACACCAAAACTAGTTTATTAGTTTTTCTATAAATGTTAGCTTTTAGACAATAGGATATTTATGATCATATTTATGACTTCTCAGTAGGAATTTCTTTACTCAAACACTCTATGGAAATGTTTTCTAATTATCTGTCTAAAGACTGGTAAAATCAATCTATACCACTTCTGGCTTCTCTGTCCCTATTCCCCTTCACTGACAGTGGTTGCAGATTAAGTTCACTCTTGCCCCACACTGCACCCAAACATCCCTTTCTTCTCCAGTGTTGTTAATAAGGCATTTGGAGAGTTTTGTCTTCCATAATGTAATTTGTTTTGAAACATGTTTGTAGAGGGATCTGAGGCTTTAAAAATACACAGGCATTTGATACCAGCATTTGCATGTTATCATGAGATCAAGAAGTTTTGATACCTCTTTCCTTCTGTAGAACAATTATGTTAATGTTAATATAACATTTTGTGTTTACAAAATGGCTTTATGTAATCTCATATTTGCATCTCAATAAGTATATAACAAAGTTATTCTTGGTATCTCCATTTGAGAACTGAAAAACTGATCATCTGAGGGATTAATTGATATCCCCAAAGTAAGATAGCTAGAAATGAACTGAACTTCAGCTCAACTCCAGGTCTTCCTATTATAAATTCCACGCTCTTTTTATTTACTTCCTTGGTTTAATCTGGATTACTAGCATACGAGATAGTGTGCTAGAAACTGGAAAAATGTAAACATATGAGATCCTATCCTTGTGTTTGTGTAGTCCATGGGAAGACACACAGTAATGACCCACCATTTCCAGAGTGTAACAGTTACCATACCATGTAGGTGGTGGTATGTGAGCATAGAGGGCTTGCATTTAAATAAAAAGAAGATGTCAGTAAAAGCTTATCTGAGAAATGACATACGTTGAGTTTTGAAGGTACAAAGATTGGGTAAAGAATAAAGGAGAACACTTGTCCGGAGGCAACAGCATATAGAAAGATACAGAGGTGTAAATCACAAATGTTCTAATATTCTAAATATAATTTACTTGGGGAATGGTTTAGAAGGTAATGATTAACCTATATTCTATTAAAGATTCTTGGAGCTAGAGGGGTTCCCCAGAGTCTGCCTAGACTTGTTAGCTACCACATGGTATCCTAATGATACCAGCCAAGTGGGTCATCAGTTCATTAAATAAAACTTTACAGCCTCTCTAATAATGTTTTTCATCAGCTAACAACACTTGGTTAATTTTTTAATTATTATAAGAAATATTCTTCAGAACTTACATACTACCTATTTCTGTCTTGGGTAAAATATTCCCTAGATCATGTGAGAGTACAAAGAATCATGTGCAAATGCTTCAATTTGTTAAACTCATCCTATTTTTTCCCAATTATTCTTGAAAAAGGTCGCTGCAATTTTTGAAGACATCAATTTCTCTCTATATGGTCATCATAAATTCTCAACTAAACTGTGTTTATGTTTAGTGGGACAACATTAAGAAGTTTTTGTTTTATCTACTTCCAGATCCTTCCCTTTTATTTATTGACAGTTTTCTAATCCGAAAAAAAAGATATATGAAACAATACAATTAGCATTTCCATATTATGGATTCTATTTCAAATTAGAATAATTCCTCAATCATAACTATTAATTTTTAATTGAAATGTATACTTTTCAATGATGAGGCAAATATTATGGTTTATTTTATTCTCATATTTTATGAAAGATCCTGAGGCTCAGGCAGACAGTGTTGTCTTGCCCTCGGTTACAGTGCAGAACCAGAATTTAGTTTCTAATCCAGTGATTTTCCCATTACCCCATGCTGCCTGTTCACGGGTCTCCTCCCTCCCTCTCTCTATTTTCTTCCTCTCACCGACTACATTCCAGAAATCTTATTACTTCTTGTTAGTTCTACAATGAATAGGTGAGAGTTACCTTCCCTGGAGTTTATGCTCTTGATTAGAATTCCTGAATTCCATAACTAAATGACAAACGACTTAGACTTTAGGGAGCTCTCTCTTTGTGTCAATTGCTGAATAACCCCTTTCTGAATCTTAGATTCATTTTTTATCCTTGACACAGAAGTAGGACCTGACCTACTTTCTAAATTTATATTACATTGCATTTTACCCCCACTTCTAACCACCCAGTTTATTTCACTGCTTTGAAGGAAAAATAAAATGACATGAACATATTTCTGGGTTAATTTTTAAGTTAAGCTCTTAGTAAGCCTATCTGTTCAAGATAAGGTGTATGGAACTATTGAAGAGACAGAGAAAAAATTAATTGGAAAGTAAAGTATGTTAAAAATAGCCCCTGGGGTAAAGCTTATTCAAACCAATCCCTCAAAAGCTAGTTTGGGGAATAACTATCTAGTACATAATTTCCATCTCCTTAGTAAGGATATTGTAGGATGGAAATTAGGATTAAAATTGAAGAAAACTAAAAGTTCATTCCAGTAGAATTTTGAAACAAAGAAAAAGGAGAGGGAAAAGTCATAAAAGCAATAATACAGGAAAATTCCTAGAGTTGAGGAAATGAGTTTCCACATGTAAAAGGTCTGCTGAGTTACAATACTTTAATATAGTATATAAAGAAAATATTGGAAACTTCTAAGAGAAAATGATAATATGCTAAATATCTGGAATCTGAATGTTTTCAGATTCCTAATCAATAATGGTTTCACACAGATAAATGACATTTCTGATTTATAAATTTATAAAATGACTCTAGATGATATGTAAGTAATGGATTGGAATAAAAGCAGCCAGACAAATTAGGAAGCTGTCACACTCATCCACCCCCAGTGGGATGATGACAGTGGGGATGGAGAGCTGTCCAGAGGTGTGAGCTAGAATCAGCAAAGGTGTGGAACTGAGAAATTCCAGGAGACAGAGACCTACCAGTTCCCCAAATCCCTTAGATACTCCCTACATAGTCTCTTTGTGACTATAAGCAGTACACAAATATAAGATTGTATCTGCAGATAAGCATAGTCTGAAGATTTGGAATTCCTTCCCAGACACCAAGCAATCTTTACTTTTCTATCCTACATTTCATACATACACTGATTATATGGAAAATCTCCAGGTGGCTTCAGGTGGCTTTCTACTGTTTCCTTTTCTCCCCCAACATTACCCAACAAAACAAAAGAAGAGAAATTACAAATAGAGTAATCTGCAAAAGCTCATAGTTCCTATCCTCAAATAACGTAAATTCTAAGTGACCATAGAAAGCTAACTAATATTATAAGGATACATATGGGTATATATGTTAAGTGGAAAACAGTCATAAGGTAACGATATTTCTTAGGCATTCGAAGGGAGGGGTTTGCTGTTTGAGGGGTCATAGAGGTGGTACTCAGGTAGAACTTGGAAGTTCGGGTGTCAGGTGGAGGAGAAATGACAGACATCACAGAGAACACAGCATAAATAATAGGTGAGACTTAACAACCACCATGTTTGGGAGGTAGAGAGTAGAAGAGGCTGGTTGGAGAGATCCTTATAACAATGTACAACACATAAGAAGAGTATTTTTTTTCCTTAATAGTACCCTCCCCACTGACAATGTGAGTGCACTTTCATATAACAGCACAGTGCACCAGCTTGAATACAATAATATGACCAATATAGATATAATTTGGTCCCACCCATATTTGAACATTCATTATATTTTATATTCTTCTTATGTGGTAACTGTGGGATTGATCCACTCAGATCTCACTTCAAGAGAATCTGCTGTGGAGAGCATAGGTGACTGGCAACTTCCAGCTGCTGCACTTTGAGATATACCTTCAGATTCACACCGGGACACACTTCCTATGTTTCACTTCCAGCTGATAAGTGGGCCTAGCAGAGATATTAGCACTGGGCCAATCCTACATATTGACATGGCCAACATTTTCTTTCCAGAACTGGACTGAGATCTGAGGTTGTCCCTACCTAATCCTCCTCTTCCTCTTTCTTTGCACAGATATCTGACTAGCACCACAGTTTGAAAGCTTTCCCTTTCTTTCTCAGGCATTTCCTGTGAATCTATTGTATACCTAATTCTATCTTGCTGTCTGCTTCTTGGAGGACCAAACTGATATACTTGGACATGTATCCCTAAGAACACAAATCAACAATTATTGCTATCAGAAACATCGGAGAGTAAAAATCTTTCAGGAGACACCATTCTGAGACAAATATAACCATTAATTCCTTTCAAGTTCCATTAGTTTCCACTCTAGGGTAAAAAGGATCTTTTAAAGATCATCTAATTCAACTCTACATTCTGACGTGTGGTTACTGAAGTAGATTAATGACAAAAATGGCCTGTTTATTCACCCCTCCCTGTATCCACATCCTTTCCAATGTAACCTTGCAGCTTCTCTCATCAAGTGAACACTAATTATTGCCCCACCCCTTGCATTTAGTCTGGCTTTGTGACTTGCTTTGGTTAATAGAAAGGGATGGAACACTGAGCCAAGCTCAGGACTCCAGTGACCTTGCACAATTCCACTGTTTCTCTTGGACCTCTGCCTCCAAAAGAACATGATCAAGATCGCTGGATGGAGAGCCAGAGACCACATGAACCAGAGCTGAGTTCAATCGTCCCAGCCAAGGCATCAGGCCTGTGAAAAAGTCCAGCTGAGACAACCACAACTGCCCAGCTGACCAGCAACTGATCATAGACATATGAGGGGGCCCTATTCAGTCTAGAAAAACTGTCAAGCTGACCCATAGACTCCTGAGCAATAAAAAACATTTGCTTTAAGCCAGTGAGTTTGGGAATGGCTTGTCATGTAACATCATTGTGTTAAATTTAACTAATACATATGTTTTCTAAGATCGTCTTTATCACAGACGCACCCAGACTCTGCTAGGACTACACCAGGGGGAGGACAGAAATAAGTGATCAGGACTTTTTGTCTTCATTTTCTTCTCTTTTCTTAGATTAAATGAGATCATGTGGTTATTTCAGTGGACCTCAATAAATACTTAGAGGCACAGATGTCACTATGCTGTATCCCTCCTGTCCACCCCCAATCCATTATTTTTCAGTTTCTTTCAATTCCATGACATGTCCAGTTATCAGGGCTGATTTTTCCTACTTCTGCTATATCCAGTTCACCTATACAGTTAGTACAATTGGAGAATCTGAGCCATGAATTTGGGATATAGTTTATTGCATGTGTTCCTCAGGATCAGAGATTCTTTTTGAAGGGTGGGGATATTTCATTAGTGAATTTGGTTATTTTCATGGAATTCTTTATTGCAACTTTTAAAGTGATTATATGTTGTAACTAAAGCTCTGGGCAGGGATGGATATTAGGATAGCACAGAGCTGCCAATACCTGGAAACCTGACTAACATGACATCAACAAATGAGAGCTTTTTTTAAAAATTCTCACCCGATGAAAAGTTTCAAGTAATTGAAACTGTCCTAGCAGCTTAACAACACAAGTTACAGGGTCCCTGGGGTTCTCATGAATGCGAGATGACAATTCCCACTTTAGGTATTTCAACAAAGCGAAAAGAAGAGAGGAAAATATAGTACCAAAGTTATTTGTTCTTTTTGTCAGAAATGAGAAGCCCCCAGAAGATTTTGTTTTGTGTCATTGTCTAAAATTGTACCACATGGCCACCACTGCTGCAGGGAAGGTAGTGAACTATGCAGTTTCCATTCTCAGTGTGAAGGCAGCAAGGGCTAGCAGTGCTTGGAAATGAGTACTGGTTAGGCAACAACAGTGTCTGTCATAGTCTGTACACTAAAGCAAAGAGTAAAATTGGGGAAACAGACAATGCAAGTTTAATCAACACAGGATTTATCTGTAGGTGGACAACATGCACTTCAAATTTCTTGAAAAATAATAAATATTCTGAGACTTTGCTCCTCAAATTAATTGTTGTAATTTTGGGAAATATTTATATTATGAATGAGTAACTTTATCTGAGAATATTGAGTCAAAGCAGGGCACCAGAATATGTATACTTGAAAACTTCCACATGCATTTCTGTATATTCAAGCTGAATTTACATTCCAACCCCCTACTCCTGTTCACCTAGTCATCCTCTTCCTCACCTCTTAAATCTATCAATTTCCAAGTGCAAGCAACTCAGCCTCCCACATAGAACTCAATCTGCTCTTACTGTGCATTCTTGTTGATTACATCATAGGGCAGCTCATTACCCACCTGCATTACTACAATAGAGGCCATACTGCTTACTTCTGTTAGCATTTTTTCCTCAAATCACCACCCAACAATCCTGTCAAAGTGAAATATCTAAATTTAAACTGATTTTTTTAACTAGCTACCTTAAATTTTATTTCCTTTGAAATAAAAGCAGGTATCCTTTTGGCAAGACTTAAAAGGTCCTTTATGAACTGGTCTTCACCATCCTCTCCTAGCTCTTTATCCTTTCCAAACAACCCTTTGCCCTGAAATTCCTAGAGTTCCCTAGAAACGGCAGACCTACCACGTGCCTTCTTCTCCCCACGTTTTCTCACATGTCCTTGCACTAGGAATAGCTCTAGGGTCCATTATTCATAAGGGCTCCTCCTTGTCATGCACTTCAATTCTCATCTCAATGATAACCTGCTCATGTGCCTGTCTCGTGAGCTCCTGAAGTGACTGTGTATTTATCACACTTCCTTATCATCATCTCACTATTATTTATCACTGCAATTGTGTGTTCCTATGTTAGAAAGTAAAATTTAAAAGTTGTTGGAACACCTAAAACACTTTCAGTCTTCAGAGACATGTGATTGTGTGATCTGAGTCATAGAGCATGTAGTTGTAACTACTTCTTCTTAGATTATAGATTTACTCTTTCTTAGTGTTCTTGTTTTGTAAGTGACTAGGAGAGACCAAAGGCCAGACATCCTCCCCTTCTAATTACTTACCTTTGTTACAGATTAACTGTTGCCCTTACTGTCCTGTACCTAACTCAGACCAGGTGACACAAAAGACTTCGTGACTGTTACATCTTCAGTGTGGAATGTTAAACATACCTCTCCCGAGAGAGAGAGAGAAAAAAAAAACACCTTGACCAATCAGATCATTATAACTATGCAGTAAGCCTCTATAGAAAGATGTTGGAATCCTGCTAAGTTTCCCTAAACCCTGCCTATAAAGACAACCCCAAACTTCTACACTTCAGAACAGTGACATCCAGTCTTTAGAGTCTGTGCTTCCTGGGCAGTCATCTTCAAGCTTTTTGTATGAATAAACTGTACATTTAATCACATATTCTTAATCTCATTATTTAAGGTTGACGTGTGTGTGTGTGTATGTGTGTGTGTGTTCAGCCTTTTAACATTCATGACCATCTAAGGTAGCCAGGCAGAAGACTGAAATGCTACAGTGGCACCTACATACCACCACTACCCTTCCCTTTACCCTGCTGCAGAAGTCAAGGACGCAGAAGGAACCGTACAATCAAGGCTGTGAATTCAGGACTCTGTCTTCGTGTGTTTACTTTCTTCACTGGCAACAGTTAACACTCTTCCTGATACACTGTGGGTGCATTTGCTGAATTGGTGAAAGGAGAAAAGGTTTTAAAGGTTAACTTCTAACAAAATGTTTATCTCCCTGGAAAAAAGTAGAAACTACATTCTCTGAGCCTCATCTCAAAACGTATGGCTTTGGTTGACCTTCAAAATGTTAATTTCCAAGGGAGAGGCAACTTTTTACCTCTCAATGGTAGAGTAAATCATATATCTTAATGTGGGCTCTGAGTCTCTGAGGAGGATTGATGGGCCAGTGAGTGAGAGAGAGGGGGCTCCTTAGGTCCTGGACAACAGGAAATGACAGCTACTGGCTTGTTTCACTTTCCCCAGACTTTTCCTAAATCCTTTCAAATGATTCTCTGCACTTCTTTCTAAATTGAGTTAAATTTGTGCCCTCTGTAAGATTATAAAAATAGCAAACCCAATAGTCTTCAAGAGTGAAAAGGTAAACTTCAGCCTCAACCCATGTGATGAAAAATATCAAATCAGTGGCCTTTGGATTAATGAAGTTTTACTGAAGTCATATTCCTAATTGTAACTTTCGCATTGCTGATACTGACAGAACAAATTGAGAAAAAGCAATTTGGCTTTGCATTCTCATGCATCAAATTTCTTGAAATCTAAATATAGATTCCTAGGATCTCCTGCAATTTGGGAGTAGCACTGTGCCAATCCAGATGAACAATTTTCCCTCAGGAAGCTCCTGAAAAGGTTCTGTTTCAGAGACCTCTAGTATATATTAAAAGCCAAAGCAGCAACAGTTAAGATTCATATATAGACCAAGTATTGGTGCTTCAGAAAGTTTTCCAGAAAATAAAAATGTAAATTAGTTATTGCTGAATCAAGTCACAGGAGAGTACTTTATGTCAATTACAAAAGCAATAAGAGAACAACAGCAACAAATGTGTATTTGATATCTTTCCTAAAAATTGATTTTATATTTTGTTTTAGAAACATGGAATAATTGTGGCTTGCCTATTAAGCAAAAAAAAAAAAAAAAAAAAAAAAAAAAAAAAAAAAAAAAAAAAAAAAAAACACCACCACCACTGTGTAAATAGTGTTGTTCACCATTCAAGCATTAGGATGACCTAAATCACTCACAAGTCACTTGGGCCCAGCCCTGAGTCACTCCTTAGGACGTGATTGAACTCTCCCAGATGGGGCCTTCCTTCTAATTTCCCAGGTATGTTAGAAACTGAGGCCACACCACTAATACCAGATACCCAATCTGGAGTAATTTTTCTAGGATTTTTGAGAGTTAAAAATTAGTGCCTGTTCATCATGCTATCTGACTTCAAACTATACTATAAGACTACAGTAACCCCAACAGCATGGTACTGGTACCAAAACAGATATATAGACCAATGGAACAGAACAGAGGCCTTAAAAATAACACCACACGTCTGCAACCATCTGATCTTTGACAAACCTGACAAAAACAAGCAATGGGGAAAAGATTCCCTATTTGATAAATGATGTTGGGAAAACTGGCTAGCCATATGCAGAAAAATGAAACTGGACTCCTTCATTATACCTTATACAAAAATTAACTCAAGATTGATTAAAGACTTAAATGTAAGACCTAAAACCATAAAAGTCCTAGAGGAAAACCTAGGCAATACCATTCAGGATGTAGCCGTGGGCAAACACTCTATGACTAAAACACCAAAAGCAATTGCAACAAAAGCCAAAATTGACAAATGGGATCTAATTAAACTAAAGAGCTTCTGCACAGCAAAATAAACTATCATCAGAGTGAACAGGCAACCTACAGAATGGGAGAAAATTTTTGCAATCTATCCATCTGACAAAGGGCTAACATCCAGAATCTACAAGGAACTTAAACAAATTTACAAGAAAAAACAAACAAACCCATCAAAAAGTGAATGGTCACTTCTCAAAAGAAGACATTTATGGGGCCAACAAACATGAAAAAAAGCTCATTATTACTGGTCATTAGAGAAATGCAAATCAAAACCACAATGAGATACCATCTCATGACAGTTAGAATGGCAATCATTAAAAAGTCAGGAAACAACAGATGCTGGAGAGGATGTGGAGAATTAGGAACACTTTTCACTGTTGGTAGGAGTGTAAATTAGTTCAACCATTGTGGAAGACAGTGTGACAATTCCTCAAGGATCTAGAACCAGAAATACCATTTGGCCCAGCAAATGGTATTTTGCTGGAATATTTGCATATACTGGGTATATATCCAAAGGATTATAAATCATTCTACTATAAGGTCACATGCACACGTGTGTTTATTGCAGCACTATTCACAAGAGCAAAGACTTGGAACCAACCCAAATGCCCATCAATGATAGACTGGATAAAGAAATGTGGCACATATACACTGTGGAATACTATGCAGCCATAAAAAAGATGAGTTCATGTCCTTTGCAGGGACCTGGATGAAGCTGGAAACCATCATTCTCAGCAAACTAACGCAGGAACAGAAAACCAAACACCGCATGTTCTCACTCATAAGTGGGAGTTGAAGGCTGGGAGCGGTGGCTCACTCCTGTAATCCCAGCACTTTGGCAGACTGAAGTGGGCGGATCACGAGGTCAGGAGATTGAGACCATCCTGGCCAACGTGGTGAAACCCCGTCTCTACTAAAAATACAAAAAATTAGCTGGGGGTGGTGGCAGGCACCTGTAGTCTCAGCTACTCAGGAGGCTGAGGCAGGAGAATGGCGTGAACCCGGGAGGTGGAGCTTGCAGTGTGAGCCAAGATCGCGCCATTGCACTCCAGCCCGGGCGACAGAGCGAGACTCCATCTTAAAACAAACAAACAAACAAACAAACAAACAAACAAATAAATGGGAGTTGAACAATGAGAACGTATGGGCACAGGGAAGGGAACATCACACACCGGGACCTATCAGTGGGTGGGGGTGAAGGGGAGGAATAGCATTAGGAGAAATATCTAATGTACATGACGGGTTGATGGGTGCAGCAAACCACCATGGCACATGTATACCTATGTAACAAACCTGCACGTTCTGCACATCATGTATCCCAGAATTTAAACTGTGTGTATATATATATGTGTGTGTGTGTATGTGTGTGTGTGTGTGTGTGTGTGTGTATGTATAAAATAGTACCCGTTTCAGAGGCTGAGGAAATAGAAGGTGGTGCTCCATTCAGGCACTGCGACTGGACAAATTTTATAGCCTTGCATGCATCACTTAACTCATGAGAGCCTCAAATTCCCCATCTGTGAAATAAGAAACTTGAAACAGAAAACATCACCTTGTATTTGTACAATATTAAATAACTTGCAAAGCACTTCAGCTGTTTTCTCATGTAATCTTAAACAAAAATATGTGAAAGGCTGGGCTGGGTTGAAATTAATATCCTTATGATGGTCAAGTTTTGAGGATTCCTAAGGGACACTAACTCTTCTACACTTATATCAAGTAACTGGCTTAAGCAAATAACAGCAATCAGACAGATGGAGGAAGAGTGCCAGGAGCTAAGGAACATGAACAGCCTATGGAAGCTAGAAAAGTCAACAAAACAGACTCTCCCCTAGAGCCTCCAGAAAAGAAAGCAGCCCGGGCAACAGCTGGGTTCTTAGTCTCATGGCACTTGTATCAGACTTCTGGCATACAGAACTATAAGATAATAAATTTGATTTTGCTTTGGTTACTAGTTTTTTGGTACAGGTTGAGAGTCCCTAATCTGACAATCCAAAATCCAAAATGCTTCAAAATTCAAAACTTGTTGATTGGCAACATGACACCACAAGTGGAAAATTCCACAACTGAACAACTGCCACCTTTGCTTTCTGATGGTCAATGTACACAGTTATTTTGTGTACAAAATTAAAAATATTGTATGAAATTACCTTTAGGGCATATGTATATGATGCCCATAAAGCACAAATAAATTTTGTGTTTAGACTTGGTTTCCATCCCCAAGATATCTCATTATGTATATGCAAATATTCCAAAATCTAAAAAAAATCTGAAATCCAAAACACTTCTGGTCTCAAGCATTTTGGACCAGGGACACTCAACCTACGCAAATTCTATAATTTGCTACTGGCAATAGAAAACTATTATATGATACAACCACTTTGGAAGACACTTTGATGTTTTCTTAGAAAGTTATGTATATCTATAACATGATTCTTCCATTCCACCCCATTTATTCACATCCTATTAACTCAAGAGAAATGAAAACACATATCTGTATAAAGACTTGTACGTTAATATTTATGGCAATTTTTTTCTTTTTAGAGACTGAGTCTCGCTTTGTCACCCAAGCTGGAGTGCAGTGGTGTGTTTATAGCAACTTGTTTTGAAATGGCTAAAAACCGGAAATGATCAAAGTGCCTATGAACAGATGAATAGATTTAAAAAATCTGGTAAACCCATACAACCAGGTACTAGTTAACAATTTAAAAGAGTATACCATTGATCTATATAACACTGGGGATGAATCTCAGATTATACTGAGTGAAAAAAGTGAGATAAAAAGAATACACAGTCTACGATTTCATTCATATATTTTCTAGAAAATACAAACTCATCTATAGGAACAAATGAGTGGTGGCGACAGGGAAGTGGCTGTGGGTCAAAGCAGGAGTGAGGGAATAAAAGCATGAGTAAAATTCTGCAGGTGATGGATATGTTCACTCTACTGACTGTGGTAATGGCTTCACTGGTATAGAAATGTCAAAATTTATCATTTGAACACTTTAATCTGTGTCAATTATATCTCAATAAAGTTGTTTAAAAATAATGTAAAATATCAGGGTTCCCAAGTTTATGTAATATGTTAATAGCAGAGATAAATACCATTTTTCAGAAATTTATTATATTCCTAAAGGCCATGGCCTAGCTGCAAATATCAGCATAGTAACAATCAAGAATAAAATCAGTTTTGTTCAAGGATCCAAGATTCTGGGAGAATATAAAGCTGTTTGGCATGATGGATTTCCAAGCTGGAGGCTGTGTTCACTGGCCACTTCTTCACCTCATTAAGCAACTAATTATTGGCACAAAGGGATGGATCAATGAGAGGCCTGCAAGATGTCTCCTGGAGGCAAGGGGTACTGGGAAGAAAATGAGTACAGTCTCAGCAGGAACCCTGAATCCAAATGAATACCGAGGACCATTTAAGGTGCCAAAATGGGAAGACAGCCATCATTTGGAAGCCAGGTATGTGGCAAGAAGCCCCCACTTTTTTTTTTTTTTTAGACAGAGTCTCGCTCTAATTGGCAAGCTCGAGTGTAGTGGCGCAATCTCAGCTCACTGCAACCTCCGCCTCCTGGATTCAAGCAATTCTCTTGCCTCAGCCTCCCGAGTAGCTGGGACTACAGGTGCACACCACCATGCCCAGCTAATTTTTATATTTTTAGTAGAGACGGGGTTTCACCATGTTGGCCAGGATGGTCTCGATCTCTTGACCTCGTGATCCACCCACCTTGGCCTCCCAAAGTGCTGAGATTACAGGCATGAGCCACCACACCTGGCCTGAAGCCCCCACTCTTTAAGGAGGCTGGCATGCATGAAGGAAAAGAAAAGCTGTCACCATTGAGCTGTTATTTAGGGAAAAATATAATCTTTCTGGTTGGGCACCATGGTGTGTGCCTGTAGTCCCAGCTACTCAGGAGGCTGAGGCAGAAGGATAGCTTAAATCCAGGAGGTCAAGGCTGCAGTGAACTATGATGGTGCCACTGCATTCCATCCTGGGAGATAGAGCAAGACCCTGTCACTTAAACAGCCCTTCTACCTGCCCGCAGTAAAAATTCAGGAAGGGAGAGTGAGGGGAGAAAGAGAGAGATAGCAGTTCTCACACCTTTCAATTATAAATTGTTTTCTGTACACTCAACTAAGTTTGGTGTCATGGATGGATGATGTCTTCCTCATATATTGAACTCCTAATCCGCCAGTACTTCAGAACATGACTGCATTTAAAGATAGTGTCTTTAGGCCGGGCACAGTGGCTCATGCCTGTAATCCCAGCACTATGGGAGGCTAAGGCGGGGGGATCATGAGGTCAGGAGATCGAGACCATCCTGGCTAACATGGTGAAACCTCATCTCTACTAAAAATACAAAAAATTAGCTGGGCATGGTGGCGGGCGCCTGTAGTCCCAGCTACTCAGGAGGCTGAGGCAGGAGAATGGCATGAACCCGGGAGGCGGAGCTTGCAGTGAGCCGAGATCATGCCACTGCCCTCTAGCCTCGGTGACAGAGCGAGACTCTGTCTCAAAAAAAAAAAAAAAAAAAAAAGAAAAAGAAAAAATAATTTGTCTTTAGAAAGCAATTAAGTTATAACACATTACAGTGGGCCCTAATCCAATATGACTGATGTCCTTACAAGAAGAGAAAATTTGAACTCAGACACGGACAGAAGAAAGACCACGTGAAGACATAGGGAGAAGATGCTGTTGCAAGGCAAGGACAGAAGCCTCAGAAGGAATCTACCCTGCTGGCCCATTGATCTCAGACTTCCAGCTTCCACAATTGTAAGAAAACGAATTTTTATTGTAGAAGCCACCCAGGGTGTGATACTTTGTTACGGTTGCCTGAGCAAATTAGTATGGTTGGCGTGATCTGAGACAGGATGATTGCTGACTGACCGAAGCCAATGAGGTAATGCGTGATCTTTTGGGGAGATACTAGGGACAGTTCAGGTGGGTAAAGACTGTACATCACCCTATCATATTCTTACTATTAAGTTGTAAGAAAAGTAAACTACAGATCACTCGAACCCACAAAGCAGAGGTTGCAGTGAGCCGAGATCTCACCACTGCACTCCACCCTGGGTGACAGAGTGAGACTCCATCTCAAAAAAACAACAACAACAACAACAACAACAACAAAAACAGCAACAACAGCAACAACAACAAGAAAATAGCACAAAATAATTTTGCAACCTGTTCTGTAATCTTTCTGCCCTCCAGGAAATAAATCACTACTGGGTAGGGATGGGTCACTCAGGAAAGCAATACTCTAGAGACAGAATTCCGTTATCTTATAGTCCACATCAGAAGGCAGAATCCTCTGAACATAGCATATTTTAAAATCAAGCTCCATTCTAAGGAACAATAGTAAAAAGCATCATGCAATCTTACACTTTGTTCACTCAGGGCCAGAGAGTACTTCTACAATTTTTAGCCAAGATAATTGCATGTCTTTAACACGACTAAATTCTCCAATGACTATGCATTTCTAAAATAATTTTTAATTTTAGAATTAAAAAATACTTTAGAAATAATTAGAAATGGTTTTAATGGATATATAAATCTAATACCTTTTCTCTGTCAACATTCGTTCTCCACTAAAAAAATAAAAATCTGAGTGGGTATGGTGAGAAGGCCTTATTCAAAGATTCATAGAAAAATTTCTTTGTCTAACCGTAGACACATTTCAACAATGGACTTAGAATGTGTAAAGTAAAAGCAATTGTAAAGTGACAATGACCTATTTCCCTGTCACCTAAGTATTTTTAATACATTGATTTTTTTTATTGGTGTAATTTTACAGGCCATCAATATCAAAAGCATTATATGAAACCTAAATGTATATATTTTCTGGCAGAGTTAATGCCATATACAGAAGTGCTAACATAAAATGTGTAAATCACTCCTTTTAGCATCTTCTTGTTTTTTTTCCCCTTAGCATATTTTCAGAGGAAAATCTGGAGAAAATAAATCCATGTTGACTTGGATGTTGACTCTTCTTTAAATCCATCCTACCATTGGATGTGGTTAGCTTTAAATTTCTTACCACCTTATGGGATAGGACACCTCCAAACATTATGTGAATTTTATTTTTTAAATTTTATTTCTTAGTGTTACGTTTGTGAAACTTACGTTTTGACAAATGGCAAAGTTGACCTGTTGTCATCTAATGACTGAAAAATCAAGGTTATTGTATTATGCTGCAGCCTGATGCCTTTCCCTCAACAGAGAAATATCCTAATAAAATTGTTTCCATGCCTAGGTGATTACAGATACAGATATAGATATTTGATTTTAATTTTATTAGGAAGACCTCAGTTTTCCTACCAACTAATGTGAAAGATAGCATCTTTATTGACTCCAACATTATATTTTGAGGCTCGACTCTTCTTAAATTTGGCTTATATTTCATAGTTTACCATATCTTATCTTAGTCTTGAGCCAGGGCACTTTAGAATAATATTAGGAAGCCAAATATTTCTTAGGAACTTTCTTATATAAAATCTACTGCCCAAGTGTTGTTAAGTCCTCTAAGAAAACTTGAAATTGCCAGAATGCAAATCTTTCTAGAACAACATAAGTACAAGTAGAAATTATTAGTGATTCAAGATACAAATTGAGCTTAATTATTTCTTGATTGGGAGATCTTTCCACCTTTTCACTATGTACCATGCACTTATTGTATCTATTCAGACCCAAATCCAGGAAGGCCATCCACTCTCCATGAATGCCCTGGATTCTCTGCCCTGCTCCCCCAAGTGGAGTTGACAGCTCAGTTTTCTGAATTTCTACCATGTCTTGTCATGTCTCAGTTATATGCAAAGTGTACATACAGAATCTATCTATTCATCAGTACATTATGTGTCAGTAATGTATATATCCACTACTTATATGTCCATTAGTACCCTATGGATTACTTGAAGGCAGGAATTGCTTTGTAAAAAAATTTTTTGACCAAAAAATGATCATTAAGTGATTAATGGAAGAGTAACCAGCATGAAATGAACATGAATATAGCACATGGAAAGTTAAATAATAATACCAGTGTTTAAAGAAGAACTTTAGACAATTAAATTTAACAGAGTTTAATTGAGAAAAGAATGATTCATGAATCGGCCAGCCTCCTGTGCCATGGTAGGCTCAGAGAGACACCAGCACAACCGCATGGTGTAAGAAGACTTAGGGATGGCAAAAGGAAAACGATGTACAGAAAATGGAAGTGAGGTTAAGAAAAAAAATGGCTAGAATGATTACAGCTCGATCTTTGCCTTATTTGAACATGACTTAAACAGTTGGCCCCCTTTGATTGCCCAAAACTCTATGACTGTCACAAGAGTAGGTTACAGCCTGTTTATGGATCCAGTTAGGTTTCAGTTTACTACGTATAGAGAAACCTTTAGGCTGAACTTAAAATGTGCAAGGAGACAGCTTTGAGCTAAATTTGATTTAATACAAGAGAAATAAAAATACTTTATGGACAATGAATGACACCAAAAATACACTCTATAAGCTCAAAGAGTTAGCTTAGAAAGATCAGGTAAGGGTTTAGGAAGAAATTGGAAATTGAAAAATGACTTGGAATTAGGGTAGCTACAGAAGAAGGAAAACAGTTCCAACCTGGGATTATTGAGGTTTTCATGGTAATAAATCACAAATTATTTACCAAATAAAAATATCTTTCCTGGGATGTTAAGTCAGAAATGACAGACTGCATCTTAAGTTTTACAAAATTGGTATACTATATCTTAATCATTGGGATGATACGGAACTTTCAAAACCAGGAATTCACCCAAGGGGATGTTGAAAATGACAGCCCTAGGCTCACAGAGTTTTTGATATAGATTGTAAAAGTCTTTTGTTTCAGTTCGTCCTTTGAAGAATGGGATAAAAACTTCTTTTTTCCCTTCCTGCAATAAGTCATCAATGTGGGGCTATTTTGGGGAGAGGGCTTTAGGCACTTACATTGTCCTCCATGCATTATATGCCAATAGAATAAATGCAAATTTTGTTGGAGCTATACAGTCTGTCAGCTCTGGCCCATGCCTCACCTGGTTCCATCAGATTTGATAAATCATCAATGACCTTTGCAAATCTTCCACTTTTTTCTTAAGAGCAGGTACATGCTGATTCATAACAGGCACAAACCAATGAAATAATTAAATGTGTTAAGTGTTAAATGTGAAGGAGAAAAAATGATTTGAAAAACAAAAAGAATATTGGTACATTGGTTAATTTTATGTGTTAGATTGACTGGGCTGAGGGATACTCAGATAGCAGGTACACATTGTTTTTGCGTGTGTTTCCACAAGAGATCCAGATCTGAATCTGCAGACTGAATAAAGAAGGTCACCCTCATCAATGTGAGTGTATTGCACATCATCAATATTGGCATCACTGTCATCAATGCAGATGGGCATCATCAATATTGGCATCACCCTCATTGATGTAGGTGACCTTCATCAACATGGGCATCACCTTCATCAATGTGGCATCATTCGATCTGTTGAGAGACTGGTAGAACAATAAGATAGAGGAAGGGCAAATTTGCTGTCACAGCTTGAGCTCTGCCATCCATGTTCTCCCACCCTCAGACACCTGTGCTCTTAGTTCTTGGGCCTCTGGACTTGAAACAGGACTTATGCCATCAGTTTTCCTGGTTCCCAGACCTTTGCACTAATGTTAAATTATAGCACTGGCTTTTCTGGGCCTCCAGCTTGCAGACTTCAGGTTGGGGAACTTCTCAGCCTTCATAATTGCAAGAACCAATCCCTCATAATAAACCTGCTTTTATATATCAATATATATCCTATTGGTTCTGTTTCTCTAGATAAATCTGATAAAATAGGTCCTTAGAAAACCTGCTTTAATGCTTCAGTGCAATTCTAGATACACTAAAGTAATGAAGAATAAGTGGTTCCTTGAAAGCTTTCATTAATGCTTGGATCCAGAGGTCAAGAGATGATTGATTTTTCCAATTATACATTGATATTGATATTGACATGGATATTACTCTATGGCAGAAGCCTTTGTTTACCTCAGGAAAATGAAGAAAAGTGAAATATGAGTGTCCCAAGTCCATCTGAACTAAAAAAATAAAAAATCCTGAAAAGCCAAACAAAATCTTCACTGTACTAGTCAATATTTCAGCCCAGATTGGCTGGTAAAGTTGTAAAATTGTCAGGCCTTCTAGCATTCCAATTTGAAGTTTTCTTTTTCCCTACTGGTAGTATTCCTTATACGTCTCAACCAAGTCTTTGTGGAAAATCATACTCCATGTTTCTAATAATGGCCAATATTTATTGAGCCCTTATTATGTGCCTGACTTAAGTATATTTCAACTCTTTGCCACAATAATGCTCAAAATTACTGTATTATCTTACTGTCTCCTTATGCAGATATGAAATCTGAGGGGCCAATGAAATTTTATCAAATGACACAGCAAATCTTAGACCACACAGCAAATACATGATGAGACCAAAATTTTTAACAGAAGTTCATAGGCTCTTGATCTCTATTTTATACTCATATTTGGGACCCCAGAAAAAGTCATCGAATAGATAAACCTATGATATTAATTGATTGAATAGATACACCTATGTGGTTTATCACATAATCAGTAACAGTAAGAAAACATAATAGTTTAAGAAAGAGTAAATTAATTCTTTCAATTTAAAAACATGGTATGTTATTTCATTTATTTGTATCTTTTTCAGTTTCTTTCATCAACATTTTACAGTTTTCACTGTACTGATTATTTCACCACCCTTAAGTAAATTTATTCCTAAGTATTTTATTGTTTTTGTAGCTATTTTAATGAGGATTATTTTCCTACTTTCGATTTCACATAGTTCATTTTTAGTATATAGAAACACAACTCATTTTTGTATGCTGACTTTGGCATGCTGCAACTTTATTGCATTTATTTCTAACAGTTTGTTTGGTGGATTCTTTAGGGATTTCTGTACATAAGATTATATCATCTGCAAACAGAGGCCATTTTACTTCTTCCTTTCAGGCTGGGGTATCTTTTATTTCTTTTTTCTTATCTAATTGCTCTGCCTAGCACTTCCAGTACTATGTTGAATAGAAATGCCAAGAATGAGCATCCTTGTTTTGGTCCTGATCTTAGAGAAAAAGCTTTCAGCTTTTCACCATTGAGTGTTAGCCACCGGTTTGTCATATATGGCTTTTATTAGATTGAGATACATTACTTCTACACTTGATTTACTGAAAGCTGTTATTATGAAAGGATGAATTTTGTCAAATGCTTTTTATGCATCATTGAGATGATCATATGATTTTTATGCTTCATTCTGTTAATGTGTTGTATGATATTTCTATTATTTATAAAGGACCCACCCTGTGGTGTTTTGTTATAGCAACACAAATGGACTAAGACAAACCCTTACATAAAAATTATTTTTGTTTTAAATTTTTTCTAGATAATTCTAACATCTGCATCAATGAATCTGGTTCTAATGATTATTTTGTCTCTTCAGACCGTGTTTTTTCTTGCCTTTTTGCATTCCTTGTAATTTTTAGTTGAATGCCACATATATTGTATTGGGTAATAGGAACTGAAGTAAATGGGCCTTTAATGTTTGTTTTTCTTTTTTTAGATAGAGTCTTGCTCTATCACCCAGGCTGGAGTGCAGTGGTGTGGTCTCGGCTTACTGTAACCTCCACCTCCCAGGTTCAATTGATTCTCCTATCTCAGCCTCCCGAGTAGCTGGGATTACAGGTGCCCCCGACCCCGCCTGGCTAATTTTTGTATTTTTAGTAGAGATGGGGTTTCACCATGTTGGCCAGGCTGATCTTGAACTCCTGACCTCAGGTGATCCACTTGCCTTGGCCTCCCGAAGTGCTGGGATTACAGCTGTGAGTCACTGTGCCTGGCCTAATGTTTGGCTTTATGTTATCTTGCTAGAAGTCAGGCTGTGTTTAATGTTCTCTGTAGCTTTAGGTACGAGAGGCTTCAAATTTCTCTGGTGACCTTGTTTCGTCTTCCCTTCCCCTTTTGAGCTCCTGCAAATAAATATTCTTCTTCAGAGAATCTCTGAATCTAGCAGCTCCTTCAGCTGGAATCCACAGTTATTATAGTTGAGACCTATAGGTTTTAATGAAAAGGTTTTGGAGAGGAGGAGTGCTCTATAATATTATGATTAACTCTTGGTCTTTTAGTAGACTTGTGTCCCTGTCTGTGACCTTCACAAGTGTTTTTCCAATTGTATAAGTTTTTACCCCTTCCCTTTACTTTCTTTCCTGGCTGCAGAGTTCCCAAGCCATTTCTTTGAAGTCCTGACCTCAATTCCATATATATATATATATATATATATATATATGTATATATATATGTATATATATACATATATATGTGTATATACATATATATGTATATACGTATATATGTGTATATATGTATATACGTGTATATATACATATATACGTATATATGTGTATATATATACGTATATATATGTATATATGTATATATTATTTTTTTTTCCTCTCGCTGGGGTAAGACAGAAAGTAGGAGATGACTGGTGTAGCGGAAAAGAATTTCCTTCTCCCTGCTGACATTAAGTTTCAGAAATAAGCCTAAGGTTTCTCTATTGCAGTGTAGGCCTTTGTTATGGAGAACGTTCTAGGAGTATTTCACAACGGTATCTCTTCTATTACCCTGCCATAGTTAACAGGGTCTTTCTGGAATCCTCATTATGAAAACCTGGTGTGTTTCCTGTTGAGAAAGCCCAGGAAAATGTCCCCACAAGATTCCCCTCAAACTGGGACTCCTGGAGTTTCTCACTTTCCTGTTAGTCCACACACAGCTTCCAGCAATGTGTCAAAATTGAGTCTTTCTACCAGTTCATGGCTCCAGTTGTCTCCCTTGCAGTAAGCAGATCATGGTCACTGTCTCTCTCTGGATATCCTTCTCTTTCCAGATTTTGGGGTTGGCATTTGCCTTGTGTCTGGAGTTCTCTGATGTGTCCAAGAAAAGTCATTGCTTGCAGATTGTCTATTTCTTATTGTAATGATGGTAGTGAAAACTCCAAGCTCTTTATGGGTGAGAACTAAAATAAGAGGTTTGTGGACTTGAGGTTTAATTAAGTACAAGGAACTAGGGTAGAGTTTTGAGGTTGGGCCTGATAAAGACCTTATGAGGTCATGACATTGTCTGATATGAGACGTGGATTTGTGCTTTAGAAGATCTGGGAGGACTTAGCTATTCTCCACCCCTACTCCGGAATCTCTTCAAAGGAAGTTTCAAGAGTCTCATCCAAAGGGGAAAAAAGACTCTGGGTGAATATGCTTTGCATAAAGACAAGTATTTGTTTTTGGAGAAAATCACAGAATGGAGCCTGCCTTGGTCAGTCAGTCTCTTTTCTCAGGCCCTAATTTCTGTTCAAAGCCTGCAGTTACATGGTTGTAGTGAAGAGTGATAGAGGGTGGAGGTCAAAATTGCCTGTTTCACTAATAGCTCTATAGACACTGAGAACACAAAATAGCTCTCCTTTGGGTCATCCTTATAATTGAAAGGAAGGTTGGGCCCAGATACAAGAGGGTCTTGAAAACAGATGGGATAATTTAGGTATAATGCAGGGGTTAAAAAACAAACATGCCACTAGAGACTTTTAAGTAACAAAATGTTATAATATTTTCACTGGATCAGTAACAACTTTTGAGTCTGGGCGCATGGCAGGTTCTAATGATGCCTTTGCTCACAGGTCATGCAGCATTAAGGAGACCCTGACTTTGAAACCAGGTATTAAAGAGATTAAATTTTGGTTCTAGTACCTATTAGCTGAGCCACTTGGCAAATTTCTTTGCAGGCCATTTTCTAAATTACTTCCATGGCCCATATTTTCACCTGTAAAATGAGGATAATACCTATTCAAGGAGTTTTGAAGATTATATCAGATAACATATGCAGTGTACAGAGATATAGGAAATGCACAACAAATAAGTATTTTATTGTACTTTAAAATATAATAGTTAATATATAATTAAATAATAGCATTTAGTTATATCATTAAAGTTTTTGAAACTTATTTTCATAAGTTAATGGTAGTGAATGGGTAACTGGGGTATCTCTCCAGTCTCATAAGGTTAACAAAATGAATTCTAATCTCTTGAAATGAGCTGAAAATAGGTCATAAACTTCTGTGTGGGGAATGGAGAAATGGCAGAAACCAGAGGAGTCTTCACATCAAGGAGAAACTAGGGAATGGGAGAGACAGTGAGCTCTTGAATAGCTGGATAACTCCAGCAGTAAGCTCAGCCCAGGAGCTTTAGAACTATGGAGCAGGGGCCAGGTGTAGTGCCTCATGCCTGTAATCCCAGCACTTTGGGAGGCCAAGGTGGGTGGATCACCTGAGGTCAGGAGTTCGAGACAAGCCTCACCAATATAGTAAAACCCTGTTTCTACTAAAAATACAAAAAATTAGCTTTGTGTGGTGGCGCACTGCTGTAATCCCAGCTACTCAGGAGGCTGAGGCAGGAGAATTGCTTGAACCTGGGAGGTGGAGGTTGCAGTGAGCCGAGATTGCACCACTGCACTCCAGCTCGGGCAACAAGAGCAAAGCTCCGTCTCAAAAAAAAAAAAAAAAAAAAAAAAAATAGAACTCTGGGGCAGGAAAGTAAAACTCCCCAAAGGTTTAGAATCATCTTTAGAGGTATACATCCTAGAGTTAGAAAAACAAACAACAAACAGACAAATTAGATTTACCATGAGAGGACCAGACAGAGGGGAAGACATGGACAGGAATTATGAAGCAAATTGAATAAAGCAATTTATGATGTATTCTAAATTTTCTATTCCTTTAAAGTCTAAGTCATAATTTTGGGGAACTCTGTCCTTCAATGTTAGGATCACAATCAAGCCAGACAGGAAACCATCTGAGACAGCGTGGAGTAGAGGCAAAGACTAGACTTTGCAATCAGACCAGTTTGGATTCCATTTCTAAATTTTATAATGATAGAGACCTGTGTCCTCTTGCCATTGGCCATCTCCTTAAATTTCTTAAACTACATTTTGGTTGCACCAGACTGTGTCATCAGGCCTTAGACCTCAGGAAACAGCTGGAAGGAGATGCCAATCATACTTTCTTTCATTCTTCCCTAAAGTTTCATGTTGAGCTGCGTACGGGGTGGGGTGATGAGGAGAGGGATGCCTTTTCCCTAAACAATGATAAAGGGAGAAACATAAAGCACTGATGTTTACCAAATGCTTGCTAACTTCTAAGTCATCCTTTTGCATTCCTGCATTTTTTAATGCCATGTTTTGGGCTTCAAATTGTGAAAAGCTAGTAGGAGAAATCCGGAATTCAAGCCTTCAAGGAAGACAACCCTAAGATAATAGAGTAACAGAGTAATCATAGAAGCTAAGAGAACATAAAAGCTTTACTAGAGACCTAATATGTGAATGTTTTCCAGTCAACCTGCTTCCAGTTTTACAAAAATAATGAATATTTTTAACAGAACCTGCCAGTCATCAGATACCTTGAGTCCTTGGAGGAAAACACAGGATAAACAGAATGCAATTATTTTCTATTATGCCCTCTCTTCCTACTCAGTGGCCATCCAAATCAACTCACATTTATTAAATACCCAAGGAGAGAAAAATGTCACACAGTGAAAACACAATGCAGTAAGAAACAAAAAATCTAGGTTTCAGACCTGTCACTGATGCCAACAGTCTATAACTTGGAACAAGTCACTTAATCTTTAATGCCTGTGTTCCCACATCTATCAAATGATAGGTTGAAACAAATGGCCTCTAAGGTCCCTGCTGTTTTTATAAAGTGATAGGAGAATGGGATGCTGTCTAAAACAGAGATAATAGTGGATGATGCAAGACCTCTAGGTTACAACTCACCTCTACCAACACACTGTTTTGGAAGGTAAGCTGAATGTTTGTACTGCCAAAGCAATATGATAATTTGTAGATAAAACAGAGCTCCACAACGTGAGTTAGGTAAAAGTAACCTGGAAACGGCAAGGTAATTTCTCTGTATTGTCTCTTCATTTCACACACTGAATGTAAATACATTTACAAAGTTGATCCTAAAATAAAGCCAGTCATGATTTCACAGTTAACACTGTCCAAAAGGTGCAAATAATCATGCCATTTGTTGATTAATAACAACTTTAGGCAATGGTCTTCACTACACTGGTGTCAACCCATTAGTGAACAGAGCCGCTCGATAATAATGTTTCAAATAGAAGAGAATAAAATATTTCAAATAGAAAATAGAAAATAAAATATAAATAGGAAATAGAAATGAATACAAAAGAAAGTACATGACATACAGTAAGAAGTATTATTTGTAAAACAGTTTTCATATATATCACATGTGCCTCTATAGCATGCATTTAAATAGTCATATACATGTTTATATATGCACATATAAATGCATATACATGCTTATATATGTATATAACACATATATTGTGTATGTGTGTATATGAGAATATTGGCTCACGTTGTAAAATTTAATTTTTTACTCTGTATCAAGGTCAAAAAACCATGAAACGCACAGTTACAGGGCAGCTCAAGTCTTCCCCAGTCTCACTCCTACCCTATACTGCAGAATTAGAAGACCTCTGATGCTGTGCAGCTTTTTGCATAGAAATAGATCCTGTGTTAGGAATAAAGCATTTGCATCATAAAATATTCTAACTTTCTTTAAGTTCTACCTTTTGACTCTTGGGCTTGTGCTCCTTCCTGGAAGCTCTGTTAGAATATTTATTTTTTAGGGGGGCGGGGAATGTAACACGTTTGACTCTTCTTCTGTGTAGCTGATACAAAAAAGAATAGCCATGGCCTCTTTTGCCTTCCTGAGTGAAGGTGCTGTCCTCTGCCTCTTAGAGTCAGGAATGAAGTGGGAAGCAGTGGGGAGACCAATTGCTGATAACAACTTGTGCATGGCAGGGGGATAGAGCAGTGAGAGATGGCGAAGGCTTGAGACAGGTAGGGAACTGCCCTGAACACTGTGCTAAGGATTTGGGACATGATGCTTTGGGAAAAGGGAACACAGGGGTGGCGGGGGAGGGGGTCACAAACAGAGGCCACTGGAAGTTTTGAGTCAGATAATGCATATTTACATGTAAGGAATTACTCTGAAGAAAAGTTAGAGCCCCATAGACAATGAAGGAGATCAATACCTTTGCCCAGGCAAAGAGAACAAAAATAATGAAAGTGTGAACTAGGGTATCAGCAGGGAGGATGGAGGTATATTCAAGACTTTAAGAGATAAAAGACTTGGTCTCATAGCTCTAATTTTTTTTTTCATTTTTACATTTTACTACGTAACTAAAAGCATCAAAAACGAAAACTCATCTTTCCAGAAAAAAGGAAAAAAAAAGCTTTATCCCTTCTAACTTGTCACTAGTACAAGCATCATCTGGTCAGAGGAGAAAAGCAATTATAACCTTCTTTAGTTCACAGTGTCTTTTGTCCTTTCTCTTTTATTAGTTGCCAAGAAACTCAAATTCTCAAATCTATATTTTTCTTGTTTTTTATTTTTTTTTTGTGTGTGTGTTTGTTCGTTCGTTTTTGCAAACATCTTCCTCTTTTGCTCAAGCCATTATAAACCAGTGGAGTCTGAGATAATTTTTCAACTGGTTTTCTTGGCCTTCCTTATTCTTTTCTCTCCCTTTTAATTCCCTGCCTTCAAACTGATCTTTCCATGATGATATTTTTTTTCCTCTATACCTCCCTAGTTATAGACTCACAATAGGTTCCAATGACCAAGAGAATAAAGTGAAAATGCTCTGGTTCCCACCTTCTCTCTTCTACTTTATTTTTCAAACTCTCTTTAACAAACATCTCACCTTTTATTCATTCAACAAAGAATATCTGAAAACCCAGTGTATCCCATACTATTTAAACTGTAGACAGGAGCAATGGTAAAAACAATTAAATTTGTTTCAAAGTGGGAAGTCATCAGAGGTGTTGTTTTGTTTTTCAAACTTGTTTAATTGTGTTTTCTAAACAGAAACTGACATGATCTGGTTCTGCTTTGAGTCTTTAGGGTCTCACTCTGGAGGGTGGGTGGAGAATGGATTCTTGGGAAGCAAGATAGGTGCAGGGTGACTATTAGAGTATCTGGGAAAATCTATTGCAGCCTAGACCAGGATGTTAACAGTGGAGATGGAGGGAAGTCAGTGGATTCTGGGTATCTTAAGAGTAGACCTTATAAGACCTGGATTATGAATTCAACATAGGGAACATGGTAAGAAATAGTTCAATAAGAACTTTGGAGTCAGATATAATTATCTAGGCCTGAACAAATTTTTTAACTTTTCTGAGACTAAGTGTATTTATCTACTTAAAAAGGATAATAGCACTGTTATTACACATACATAATTGCCCATATTGACTGTTAGTAACCTACAAAAGTCATGAACTTATATGGTTCAATGTAATATTGAACTCATAGCATTATTGGAAGGATTAAATGAGGTAAAGAATGCAAAGACACCAACTTAATACCATATTTAGTAGATGCTCGTTTCTTCCTCCCCCTATTCTTCATTCTTTCCATTTCAGGATCTGAATACAAATCTTCACTGCAGTCTTCTTGGATCAACTAACACTTATTGATTTCTTTATCCTCAAGACTCTAATTTCTACACCAGATTGCTCTAGTTTAACAATTCTCCACAACTGCCTTTCTTTGTAAGAGTTCAGACAAGCCAAAAGCTTTCATTATGCTACATAGTAAGTTAATGACAGACTCAGGCCAAAACATAATTTTCTGAACTCTGGGATTTACCACATTGATCCTGCTTTACTGCATATTTACTAACGTGTATATTTTATCTCTTCAAATATACCATAAGCTCATAGACAACGATGCAAGTGTACAGTTGTTTAGAATTTAACATTGTCTTGCACCTACTGTATATTCTGTAAGTACTTTCTGAGGTACTTCAAACTAGATAAAATCTATAATATATAGGAATAAAAGAGAGAAAAATAAGAACACATGGAAAGAACATAGAGTTTCTTATCAAATCCATGCAAAAAAATTACTCTAGAAGAGGAGGAATAAAGGAATAATCAGAATAAATTTTGGTTAATTAGGGAAGGTCTCCTAAAGAGAAAGACCTTACCAGTGCTACTAATTGTAGTTGTTTTATTAAGGTCTTAGGGCAATTTGTTCTTTATTAAAAATGGACCAAATGCAGCAGGTAGGACACATTGAGTCAGAAGCAACTGTTAGCAGTGGTTTTTCCAATTCATAATAGGCACCTGTTAAAACAGCTGGAATCTGAAAGTACCTGCCCAGTAACTTACTGCATAGCCTCAATCAACACCACAAAATGGAATAGGTCTCATATTTGAGTGATCCTTGATTTTGTTTGAATGTAACAGTAATTTTTTAATCAAAACTGCCTGCAGTTTTACACATAACCAGTTCAACCAAACTGAATAATCAAATCAGACAAAATACCCATGAAACTGACTTGAATTAATGGGTCAGTATGATTTTTAAAACCATGCAACCTTAAATAAAGGCAGTCAAGTAACTAGGATGCAAACACCATGAAATAACTTTTCTTTAGCATTTCTAATGAGAAAGAAGAGAAGGATCATGAATAAGTCAGCAGCTAACAATAGCCCTTGAACTTTACAGTCCATGAAACATTTCAGGTTTCACATGTTTCATTTGACTTCTACAAGCCTTATGATAGCTATTATGCTTTTCAATTTTGCAGATTAGAAATTAAAATTCAGAGAAGGTAGACGTATTAGTTCATTCTCACACTGCTATTAAGAACTACCTAGACTGAGTAATTTAAGAAGAATAGAGGTTCCATTTCCTCACAGTTCCTCAGGCTTAACAGGAAGCATGACTGGAAGGCCTCAGGAAACTCATGATGGCAGAAAGTGAACGGGAAGCAAGCATGTCTTATGGTAAAGCAGTGGGGAGGGGAGAGTGCCGTACTTTTAAACCATCAGATGTCATGAGAACTCACTATCACGAGAACAGCATGAGAAAAATCCGCCCCCATGATCAAATCACCTCCCACCAGTTTCCTCCCCTGACATGGGGATTACAATTCGACATGAGATCTGGGTGAGGATACAGAGCCAAACCCTATCAGTAGGTGATTTTCTCAAAATCACAGTTCTAGTACATTAGGAAGCATGGCTTCAAAACTGAGTTTTTTCCTCTACAAATATTACTCCACTTATATTGCTGATGGGTTACAAACATTGCTGGATATTGCAATCACCTGGAATTTTGTTAAATGCAGGCACCTGGGATAAAACAAGGCACACCCTGGTTGATATTGTGGCAGGTGATATGAATATCTTACTTTCGGAAACACTAAAAGGAAAGTGAATTAGGAGGAGTTGGATGGGTACCAAGTTTAAACTGTGTATCTTTTAAGAAAATGTACAAGGAATATTGCATTTGCTTGTAGGAGTTTCATTTACTACAAAGGCACTAATATGAACATTAATCTACGTAGAGAAGAAAAATGAAGGTTAGCAAGAATATAAAACCAGATGTAAGTTAGCCACATCACTAATAGCATGCCGTATGTCTTCCTAACTCACAAAAATAAGCAGCGATTAACTCACTACTTTAATGATACTGGAAATCCTGTTCATCTCATATGTGTCACAATTAACCAAGGCTAAGATTATTGGAAATACCTGGATTAGGGGAAAATTAAGGTACCATCAATAGCAAGCCAGTTTTCAGGACTGTGCAACACTTTATCATATTTTACTGAATTGTTTAATAGAATAAATGACAATAGTGACTACAACAGATGAAACAAATTCATCTTATTAAAATCTATTTTTCACATGTACATATGGAATACATATATGGCACATAGAATGTTTTTCAACTGCTTTAAAAAGTATTACAGTGTCCCAAGAATAGGGTGGTCAGCTCTGTTTATTTGCCCAGGACTGAATGGGCTCCATTTTAAAGCAAGAACAGTCCTGGACAAACTGGAACAAGTTTGTCCCAGTGTGAGATTTTAATTGAAATTGACTTTAAGTTAAATCAGTGAGGGATGTAAGTCCAGGGTAAAATCAAGGTATTAGTGGGTGGCTAAGTGGAGTGGCCAATGTGGAATAAAGTAAGAGTCTATAGTAATTAAGGACTATTCATGTAGTAGAATAATAACAGGCCATAGGAAGGAGACTAGGAGCTTAGCATCTGTAACAATGTTCAGTGAATAAGACGTATTCAGGAAATCAGTGACAGTGAGGGGTAAGCATACAAGCTAGAAAACCCAGCTTGAATAAGGCTCAAAGGCACAATTAGGAGACAGTGGATAAGGCTCTGCTAACATTTAATTACAATGGAAT
This sequence comes from Homo sapiens, assembly GCF_000001405.40. Lineage (NCBI taxonomy): Eukaryota > Metazoa > Chordata > Mammalia > Primates > Hominidae > Homo > Homo sapiens. Next base: position 24,598,402 of record NC_000008.11, read on the forward strand.
GGAATACAGTTTAACTGCAGAAGACATAAGGAACAGTTTGTGGAGAAAGAAGAGGACTGCGACTTGGGCTTAGAAAAAAGAATAAACAGAGCAATGTATGAGAAATATGTGAGAAAAAAGTGAAAGCTAAAATAGATAAATGGATCCTTCTGTTTGTGCACTGGCCAAGAACTCCTGAAACACAAGGCTTCCAAAACAAGTATTCTCAGGAATTGTATTTGGATGGGCTATGCTATTGAAGGAAAGTTTTCCTAGGATTAACCCATTTGTGCCAAAGGTTGCAATTTTTTGAATTTTTGCAATCAGACCTTGGTGATGACCTTGAGCAGAAGGATATAAATAACTCCCACACGCTTAGGCATAAATGCAATATGTTTATTGGCAGTTGACGTCCTTTCTCATCTGTTTTTCTTTCATGACTGTATCTCAGGGGCTGGAAGTCTAAAAACTTTATTTCTGACTCCCTTGAGCTTGAGCTCCGAATGAGATCTAAGTTTCAATGATGAAAATGCACTTGAAGAAGTTTAAGAGGCAGAAGGGAGCCAGAGACCATAAACCTGCATCTGTGGCAGGGAGCAAGCAAACTCCCCTAGACATGGATGTTTGTAAGGATTGGATCTCACATTCTCCTGCCTAGTCACATTCTACTGGCAGTGGAAGGGGTGGTGGCAGTAGCATAAATAGTTTCCTAATATTTGTATCTAAACATTCAGTTATAACCCCTTATTTCTACTTCTCCAGTCTTTCCAACGATTTTGTAAGTATTCAGTTCCCTTTATCAAACCCTGTCTGTTTGAAAGACCCAGAATGATTTCAGTTTTCTACATCCATAGCCAAGACAGAAGGTCAATAAGAATAGTCATCTCTCAGGATTGTCATTGTGTGTTGAAAATTGAACATGTCTTCATAAACGGGAAGGCTACAACTTCCTTGCAAAGAGTCCATTTAATTTTTATGTAACTTTGTTCTAAATGATCTCCTGGCCCAATTAAAGTAATTTGACAGTTCCTAAGAATTTTACGCAAGTTGGAAATAGCAGCAACTTCTAGTGGATGGGAACATAAAGGCGTGAGAGAGGACCCAAGGTACAGAAGGAATAACACTCTTCTCATGGAAGCCTTGACCCAAGATAGGGAATTAATTAGTTTCCAGGACTCTTTTTTTTTTTTTTTGTACTTTCAATTCGTTCAATAGTTTTAATTTTTTAATTTGAAATAATTATAGATTCATAGGAGTTTGCAAAATGTACAGGAAATCCCCGCGTGCTCTTCACCCAACCAAAGTGAACTTCTTACACAACAGTATAATATCAAAATCAGGAAGTTGACACTGGTATAATCAATAAAGCTTATAAACTTACTCAGATTTCACCAGTTACACATGCACTCAGTGTGAGCATGTATCCTTGCAATATTACCATGTGTACCTTCCTAACCACCACCCAAACCACATTCTCCACTGTAGCATCATCACAAGACTTCCTTGTGTTCCCTTTTATAGCCACGCCAATCCCTCCCTATCCTAACCTTGGCAACCACTTTGTTTTCTCCATCTTTAAAATAATATTCTCAAAAACGTTACACATCGGGGTTGCGTAGCATGTATCTTTGGAAAGTCTTTTGTTAATTAAAACATGTAGTCTTCTGCCACCCCCAGATGTTTTTCACATTTTAAATAGTGAAGTGTTCTGTAAAGAGGATGATATTTAGAACAACTTCAGCTTCTAGGTATAAAAACACCTCAAATATAAAGTATTTGCTATTTTTAGCTACAGTTTTATTTAAAGCTTAGGAATGACTTTCGAATAATTAAATTCTAAAAACAAAGTATCAAAATAATTTTGAAAAACAGGGTAATTCTTGTGGGATGCTGCTTCACTTCCTACTGTAAATAAATGTACAGATCCAATTATAGAGACTTATAAATATGCTACCTCATATTTTCAATGTTCACACTTTCAGGCAAATAAGGTCCTAGTTACTAACACAACCTTAACACTTATGAACCTTGACAATACTTCTTTTGGAATACAATATATTCCACCCGCCTTGCTTTAAAAAATTAAGGAAAACCCAACAGAATTCAGCAAACTTTCTATTCATGTGGGCAAAGTTGAAATTAAAATAGAAACCTTGAGGAGGAAGCCTATAACACTGTCTGATTTAGCTCTAAAGAAGAATTCAGAGGAGTGCTGCGGTGAGTTAAATTATTAGCAGGGGCATATAAAGTTCAGAACCTTCTCTTGAAAACTGTTTCTCTTTTTCTCTTCTTTTGGATCTCCATCTCTTGGGACAGATCTGAAAGCCACTCACCACTCCAACCTAGGAGCCTAGCAATCCTCTCAGAAATTTAATGCATATTTTTTATTTGAGCATTATTTTCTCCAAACAAATAAATGACCCTATGTTATGACAAAGGGCTTCTAGGCCACTTTCAGCTAGGTGGGACAATTTAGAGTATTTTAGTTAAGGAAATATTAAAATCTTCAAAGATTTTTATGGTTTATAATGAAAATAATTTCAGAACTATTATATAAGATTTAGGATGAGTATCTAGGCAAATATGGAAGTCCGAGATCAAGGTTTTGGCAGTGTTGGTTCCTTCTGAGGGGGGTGAGGGAAGGTTCCATCTCTGAGCTCTCTCCTTGGCTTACAGATGACTATCTTCATGTCTGCATACCGTTCCTCCTCCCTGCCTGTAAGCCTGTGTCCAAATTTTCTCTTTTTATAATACCAGTCATACTGCATTAGGACCCACTCTACTCTAGGAGCACTTCATCTTATCTGACTAATTACATCTGCACTGACCCTATTTCCAAAGATTGCACTGCAAGGTACTGGGGGTTAGAACTTGGACTTAAACTTTTCAGGGGATACAATTCAACCCATAGTAGGATTCATATTACTAAAATAATATTTCCCTCTACTTTCTCCAAAATTTTTTCCCACATAGAGTCCTACCTGCAGAGCACATCCTGATTGGACAGAACTATAATAAACTGCAGGTCACTTTCCTTTAGGGTTGGAGACAAGTCATCTTGGACCAGATTGTTTTTTAAGGATAGAGTCACTTCTGTAGCTATTTCTAGTTATGTAAGTGTGAGATAAGCAGACGCTCAATAATTTGAGGATAAAATGCAACTGATCCTTCACTGATTAGTCTGACAAAAGTGACTCATTTTGATAACCTTCCTTGAACCTTGTTTTCAGGGACAAGACTGGTAAATGTGTGTCATGGAGTATCCTGTAAGAACAGTGACTGAGAACCCAGCTCCTCTGTTCTGTGGAGTCTGATGGACTAAGAAAGCCAAATGAGGTTCATCAGCATTGAAGACACCAATAGTCCCCAAGGAGAACATTCAGTAAATGTAGGAGCTCTCTGAACAAGACATCTGGTTTAACAAAATAGAAAGTTACAGTGAGAAGGATTTGTTCAGGCATAATATGAATCTACCTCAGACCTGGCTGTCCTATGGCACAAGGGATGTCAATGCATATGAGTGTAAACTCAATAAATAGAAGTATTGGGAGGCCAAGTGTGGAAAGACTGTTGGCATGCATTATGTTGGTGAAATTGTCCCTCCTAGAAAATCACTAAGGGCTGCACAGGGAGGTAGACAAGCAAGACAATTATTACAGCAGTGGATAAAAACTTCTCAAATAGTGCAACAATGACAGAAGCAATTAAAGATAAAAATCAGTACACACTATTGACTTTTCACTCAGTGTCTGCAAGTAGGAGTGGTGCCTTCAGACGTAGTAAACCTCCTGCATTTTTAGGCAAATCGGGGAAAAATGTCTATGGTTGCAGAGTGTGGTGACTATCTTGAAACATGATCCTGCTGCATATTGTATTAATTCAGGTAGATTAAGTGAATAGTGTTAATATTTTCAAATCTGTGATTTTACTTATATGGCAAAGTGTAACATACATATGCAAATATACATAAAGAATAACATCTATTCACACTCTATTTCAAGAATGTGAATAGATGTTATTATTTTTCCAAACACTACTTTCTCTGTTGGAGGATTATACTTCCCCACCACTTTGACATCAAGCTTGGCCATATAGTTTGCTTTGACCAATAAAATATGAGAAGACGTAACGTATGCCACTTTCGAGTTGAAGTTTCGAGAGTTATCTTCTGCTTCTGCTTTCCTCTCCCCACCCCCTTGTTTTCTGCCACAGGACAAGCGATGCCTTAGATAGGAGGTGCTCTTTCAGCCTGGTCCCAAAATAAAGACAGCACAAGGCCACGCCAGGGCCAACCTTGGTGGTCAAAATGTGAGAAGGGAATACAACATGGTTGTATAAATCCAATATCATTTGAGAGGACTGCTTGTTACAGCTTAATCTGCCATGATCAAAATAGAAAGCCTTACCAATTATATATATTTTTTCATTTTATAAAGAGGACCTAGAGTTAGTACTAATATTTTGGAAGGTAGTCAAAACTTCAGTATAGGGTTTGGTGGCTCATGCCTGTAATCCCAGCATTTTGGGAAGCCAAGATAGGAGGATTATTTGAACTCAGGAGTTTGAGACTAGGCTAGGCAATATAGTGAAACTTGTCTCTACAAAAATAAAAAGTTAGCTGGGTATGGTGGCATGCGGCTATAGTCCCACCTATTTGGGAGGCTGAGGTGGAAGGACAGCTTGAGGCTTGGAGGTGGGGGCTGCAGTAGGCCGAGATCCATTGTTACACTCCAGCCTGGGCAAAAAAGCAAGACTCCGTCTCAAAAAAGAAAAAAGAAAGAAAAAAAAACTTTAGTACACAATATTCTGAGTATTAGATATTTGGGTTGCAAATGGTAGAAACCCAAAGCAAAGTAGCTTAAGATAACTTTTAAGGAAACTATTGATTTATAAAACTGAAAAGTCCAAAATAAGTTGTATTCTGGAGGTCCACTGATGTCTTCAGGACTTTGTAGCTTTCACTGTACTGCCTGGCTCTGATTTTTTCTTCATTGTCCCCTTCTTCACCCATTCTTCCCTCATATCAGCAAGATGGCTCTCACATCCTATCTTTTCTGCAAAAAAAAATTCTCTTTAGCTCTGACAAGTAAGACGTTCAAAACACCTATCGAGTATTGAATTTTAATTTGTTTATTTTAACTTTTTTTTCCCTTCCAAGGCCACAGGGAATTCGCTGGTTCCAGAATGATTAATGTGTGGCTTGGGGGTGGGGAAGGGCTCCACTACGCAAGTAAATATGAATTAAAATCCCAACCTGAGAGTGGCACAAGCCAGGGTTTCTGATTTCTTGCAGGAGACTCATTCTCTCCCCATTTATTTTGCAGATAGGACTCTAAACAGTACATAGATGACTCAATATCAGCTCCCCACGTGCACAGAGCCTGCATCCTGGAGATCACCTCCTGGATGGATATCAGAACCTCAGGCCCTATGCACGAAGGCTTAGATCAAGTTCATATATTCCCATGAGCTCTTCAGCCTTAGTTCTTGATGACTGCTCTCCGAGTTCATCCATCATAGCTGGCTCCAGGGGATTTTTCTGTTTTTTAAATGGTTATACATCAAAAATTACTATGTTCTATGTAGTAATATTTGCTTGGCTCAGAAGAGATGCTTTCACATTAGCTCAATGTACCAAGTTTTTAGTGACCTCTGTAATTTGTTTGCAATGCTCATTAATCTTTGGTCCATGCAAGATCAGGTACTGTAACTATTGTGTTCACTCCAGAACTTAATACAAAGTTGAGGAAATAGTAGGAACTTAATACATATTTCTCAAGTGGTGAGAGACAGTAGAACACAGCAGTTAAAAATTTTGGCTGAAACCAGGTTGCCTGAGTTCAAACCCTGATCTGTCACTTCCTAGCTGTGTGAACTTGGGCATGACTCTTAACCTCTGTGCACTTCAGCTGCTCGTGGGTAAATAGAATAATAATGGCATACAGGCCTCATAAGGTTGTTGTAGGTATTCAATGAGGTAATGTTTATAAAGCCTGTAAAGACCAGTGCCTGTAATGTGTGTAATCAGCGCTATCAGAGTGTTAGTACATATTATTTGTCGTTTCATAATTAATAATACATTTTATTTGGAAATAGGTAAGCCTTTTAGTAGGACACATAGTATAAACAGTTATCTCCTTTGCCTATGTATACGGCTGGCCCTGGGATTAAATCTTGTTGAAGAACACTGTTGAATGAAATAGCTCAGAACAGAGACCTGGTGTTTGAAAATCAAGTAGGATAAATTGCAGTGGGCATAGCAAATTATTGTAGGGCTCAGGGCTGTGTTTTTCCATCCCAGCAATCAAGTGTCCCGCGAAGGGGGTTGCGGTGGGGAGAGGATGAGAGGGGAAGAAGAAACAGGAGCTAATAAAAGGCAAAAAGGATGTCCTAGTGTCTTGGAATCAACCCAGAAAATATTTTTTTTTAATTATATTTCCCACCAGGCATAGAATTCACTTTGCAGCAATAGTCTATTTGTATCAGGATCAAAAATTTCAAAATCTCTTAGTGAACATGTTGGTATAATAATCTTTCTAGTTTAAATAAAATAGACATATAAATAGAAACCTTGATTTGGAAAAGGTGCTTCAGTCATAAGGACTGCCAAATCTTTGTTTGATAAATTCAGTAATTACCTACTTACAGCTTTAAAATATTCACTCTCTTATAATATGTAACTTGCAGTGTGGAGAGTTCTACTGCAGAGTCCTGATGATTTAGATGTACCAATGTTTGAATCCTGTCTCAAAATAGAAAGAGAAAACCAGGCATGGTACAATTTATGTGTCAATGGTAGTGATGCTATTCCTACATCTAACACCAACTGTGTAAAATATTGACGTCGCATACAGATGTTTCACCTTGTGGTCTCAAAACTCTTTCTAGCTGATAAGTTTAGCAAAATAAATATGTTATCTTCCCTAGATTATGACAGGGCACCCAAAACTAAACTACCCTCTCTGGTGATTAAAGGGTTTGAGAAAATAGCATGCTGGTCTTTCTTTTTCAGCAGACAAGGGCAATCATATTAAAAAAATTAAAAATTCCACAAAATTTATTTAGTTTGTATATTTTTTACTTTCAGAAAACAAATGGCAGAAAGGAGGTGCCCCACCTAACATTACTGAGGTGTTAAGTTTTTTAAAAAAGCATGTGAGGGGGGTAAAATCAGTGAATAAGAAAATTAATATACACATTCTAATCTTTAATAGATTCAGACTTAGCTTCATTTAGGCAAATATTAACATAATAATTACTTGTGCTTGCTGAATATGATTCTGTAGATTATCTACTTCTCTGCAAGTCATTAATGGAGAAAAACTATCCACCTAATGATTATCTGGAATATATTTAATTACTCACCCAGTTTAAACATGTTAACACATCTGTAAATGTTATCTGAAAAGATGATATAATGGATGGTGCAGAGTCAGAATAGCTTGTCCCCAATGAATTATTACTATTAACTATACAGAAATTTACTAGGATATTGATGAATCAAGCCCTAAGTTATGAATATTTTTAAATAAATATTATTAAGCAAATATTTTGAAAAATACTCAAAGATTATGTTTTATTGTTAGAATTGCACAATTTGAGAAACTAAAATTCCGAGAAATAAATTTAAACATCTTGGCCTACAAATTATATTTAAACGTGACTGGATGGTGTGATAAAGCTGTTGTACTTTACTAAAAGCAGAATGGATTGATGAACAACTTTAGGTGATATTTTATAAACACATTTATGTACATGTCTATTTCTAGGCCATTCTACTCTATTCCACTGGCCTAAGATCTATTTGTGCCAAGCCCACACTGCCTTACTTAAAGAAGTTTTATAATAAGTCTTGAATCTTGAATGTAATCCCGCCCAGGTGTTATTTTTCAAACTTTCTTTGGTTATTCTTGTCCATTGAATGCACAAATAAATTTTATAATCATTTTGTCAATATTGCTATTGGTATTTTAATTTGGATTACATTTATTTTATAGAACAATTTTGGAAGAGTAAACATCTTTGTGACATCTACAATATTCTAATCCATGGAAATGGTTATTGCCCACTGTTTTTGGACTTTAAACAAATCAGTAACATTTTAGAGTTTCCAAATGTATAGATACTTTCATTGGACTTACTTGTAGATATTTGATAGTTTTGAAACCATTATCAGTTACAAATTATAACTTTTTATGTCATTTTTATTTGTTATTTATATGTAGTTTTTAAAAATCTTATGTTGGCTTCTATCTTGCAACCTTAATTCACTGATGTATTCAAATGTTTTACATGTAGATTCATTCTACATCCAATCATATCACCAGTAAATAGAGTTTTATATCTTACTGTTTAAGCCTTATAACTTTTGCTTTTTTTTCTTACTTTATAACAATAAGTAGGATCTCTATACCATGTTGAATAGAAGTAGAACTAGACGTCTTTACTCATTTCCAAATTCAGGATGAATTTTAAATTCACACGAATTGTGAATTCAGAATTTGTTCATTACAGAAATTTGTTTGGTTGTTTACTTTGGCTTTACAGATTCTCTATTACTTTAAGCAGGTTTATTTTCATGTCTAGTTTGCCAAAATTATCACAAAATGTCTTGACATCTACTGATATAACTCTGATATTGTTCTCTGCTTTGTATTAATGTAGAAAAGTACACTGACTTTCATTATATATTAATCTTTTTATATATTGCTAGAATTAATCTTGCTTTTATGAGAGTGATCAGCCCTATAATTTTCCAAAGTGCAAAAAAAAGAATCAAAAGCCAAAAGATAGTTCATTAAAAAGTCTAAAAAAATTGAAAGATCTTTAGCAAGACTGATCACAAAGAAAGAGAGAAGATACAAGTTACCAGTATCAGATTTGACAGAGAAAGTTGCTACACAAATAGATCCTAAAGAAATTAAAACTTTAATTAAACAACTTTAAGACAGTAATTTTAAAAAACTGTTGAAAGACACAAATTCCTGTAAAAACACAAGTTATCAAAACTAAAACAAGACTAAAAAAGATCTGAGTAATCCTATATCTAGCAAAGACATTGTAATTAAAAACTTCCCCACACAAAAATCTCCAAGCCCACATTTAAAGAAAAAGTGTTAAAAAAAGACTATAATGTCAATCTTTAAAAATGCTTCTAGAGACTAGACAAAAAAGAAAGTTTGTTTCCTCACTTATTTCAGGATTCCATCATAGTTTCGAAACCAAAATCTGAGAGAAGCACTAGAAAAGAAATACATAGAAATTACAAGATTAGCTCTGTAAATTGCTTATTTCCCCACTTTTTAAATACAAGAGTAGTTTTAGAGAAAGGGGAAAAGGTTTGAAATGACTGCCACTGAGGAGGAAAGCAAATGTTTCTGGAAAATATTTGATAATTTTCCAAAGTATTAGAGTTTCAGCACAGGGTAGAAATTTAAACCTGTAGTAAAATCAGTTTGCATCTGGTGGGATTTTGTTCTATTTTCCTCATAGCATTTGGCAACCTAGGTGAAAATGTGAAGTCATACTTTTGGATTGATCCAGGGTTGAGATATTGTCATGTAAGTACGAAAAGTAGGAGGACAAGGAGGAGGAGGAAAAGGAGAAGGGGAGGGGGAGGAGGAAGAGAAAAAACAAAGAGGAAAGGGAAGAAATGGGGAAGAAAGAAGAAAAAATGGAATGGAAGGGGAGGGGAGAGAAGAGAAGGGAAGGGCCAGAAGATCCAGGAGACAAAGGAAAAATGAAAAGTATATACACCAGACACTGGAGGTATTATGAGAAAACAACAACAAATACAAAAACAAACAAACAAAAACAGAGCAATGAAATGACTAGTGATGGAATGAGAGATTGCCATCCTCCATAGAATGTGATGTTTAAAAGATCAGAAATGGAGCAATTAATTTCAGTTGATCCGTGGCTCTGTGTATGGGTAGCTCAAGTTAGATGAAGTTATTAGAACTGAGGAAGTCATGGAAGTTAAAGGCTAGTATGTGGGCTAGGTCATCCATATAGCTGTTGTTTACCTGATGGTGGATTGGAGCAAGGGGAATCAACCTGTCCATCAACCCATTCTCTGTGGGAGCAGTGGAAATATAAGCATAGGGTTCCATGTAGAAAATGACTAGACAAATTCTGTGCAATTCTAGACAGTTGAATTAAAACAAAAACAATGGTGGTTTGGGAAAAATAATATTCTTGGACTCACCTAGACCTATTATGACAGAATTCCAGGGGAAGAATGTAGGAAGATATATTCTTAGTGAATGCCTCAGGTTACTTTTCATTCATTCATTCATTCATTCCTTCATTCCTTCGTCCATTCATTCATTCATTTATTTGAGATGGCTCACTGCAACCTCCACCTCCTGGGTTCAAGCGATTCTCCTGACTCAGCCTCTGAGTAGTTGGGATTACAGGTGCCCACTACCATGCTCAGCTAATTTTTGTATTTTTAGTAGTAGAGATGGGGTTTCACCATGTTGGCCAGGATGGTCTGGATCTCTGGACCTCGTGATCCACCCACCTCGGGCTCCCAAAATGTTGGGATTACAGGCGTGAGCCACCGCACCCAGTCAATGCCTCAGGTTATTCTTATGCTTAGGCATGAGCAGAAATGTGGGGAGAAAATGTGTAATACAGGTGGAATTTTTGTTTTGTTTGCTCTGATAGGAATAAAAGATTTCTAACTAAGGGACTGGGCTGATCCAAGCAGATGTGACTTCCCTGTTGCTGACTTTAGGGCATTAACTCTTCAGACACTTGGAGCACTTGTGCTGTGTCCCAGGCTCTGCGCTTAGGTTTTTATCCTTGTTCTGAGAGGGCCAACACCCTCATGGAGCAGACAAGTAATAGAAGAATAAAAAAAGTGTGCTAAGATCATGATATTTGTTTTAAAAAAATCTTATAAGAGCACAGAAGAAAGATCAACCAACTCTGTCTTGGGAGCCAAGAGGAAGTTTCTCCTAAGAAAGACATTTAATCTGAGTTTTGTAAAATTCAGTAGGAATCTGCTAGGCAAGGATGAGAGGGAGAGGATTGCAGGTAGAAAGAATCGGTGTACAGATGCAATGAGAGTAGGAATAATTGTTCAGTCTCTTTGCTCAGGTTGTATTCTGTTATGAGTTGAATGGTGCCCTTACAAAAAAAAAAAAAAATATATATATATATATATATATATATACATAAATATTTGTTATTTATGTTAGAGTTACTACCACTTGCACTTCAAAATGTGACCTTATTTGGAGATAATGTCTTTACAGAGGCAATCAGGTTAAAATAAGCTCATTAGCATGGACCCTCATCTATAATAATATGACTGGTGTCCTTATAAAAAGGGGAAATTTAGACACAAAGACAGACATGCACTATGTGAAGATACAGGGAGAAGATGGTCATTTTCAGGCCCAAGAGAGAAGCTTGTAACAGATTTTTCCTCACAGACCTTGGAAGGTACCAATGTTTCCAATATCTTGATCTCAGACTCCCAGCCTCCAGAACTGTGAGAAAATAATTTCCTATGGTTTAAGCTGCCCAGTTGGTGACACTTTGTTATGGCAGCCCTAGCAAGCTAATACACAATTCTGTTAAAAAGTAAAATAAAATGATACATGCCATGGAGTGGATAGGGGGCTTCTACTTACTTAGTCTGTCAACCACAATTTCCAGAATATTGTGTGGTCTGTAAATTAGCACTATATTGTTACATTTCCTTAGCAATACTGAAAGATCCTATGAGTTACTTTAATTTGGAATAAATACAATAAAAATAATTTCATGCTAACTATTAGACCCACATTATAACTTACAGAAACTAGTAGTATATAAACATTTACCAAAATATGTGTGCACAACAGACCACAATTGTATATTCATCTGCATTGAATGTGCAATGCTATAATTAACATTTCCTGATAGGCCACTCTTGATGTTCATGGCCAATTGGTCCTCTAAACGCTCTTTAAAAAAAATTCCGATTCTCAGAAACAAAAGAATGACTTTAAATAAACTTATTCTTGATCAGCTGTAGTGAAAGCCCACACTGTCTCATATAAATCCTTATTTAACAATAATAAAACATTTCCATTATCTACAAATGCTTAAGTATCAAGATCTAAACTACAGACATAATTAACTTGATTTCTGTGCATTTATCTGTTTGTTCTTGGATGCTTCAGCTCAGTCCTGCTATTCCTGAACTTAAGAAGATTCACCACTGTGCATCTTTCCAATATGTGCTCTGCAAAAGTGCTTGCCTCAGCTGCCTTCTAATGTGCAGGCAGCTTCTGACTGCTGGTGCTGCAGTGGGTGGGCTTTATAGCCACTCTTGGCATCTGGCAGGAATTCAGCAGAGTGTGCTGTGATGATTCAAAAATTCCGTTTAATTTTAAACAAGTGAACAAACAAGAGCAACAACAAAGACACAAAAATCCCTCAGTGTTTTCTTCCTATGTTACACTATAAACTATGCTCTCTTCACCCCACCCTAATAAGCAATAACATCTTAGTGTTATTTACTGTTTCATAATCACTTAAGCATAGACTTCAAAATATCTAAGAGTGTGCTATACTCAGGTGATATGAGGCAACAAAGAAAAGTTGCAGTTAGACCCTAACCAATATTGTTTAATCCCAGCACTTTGGGAAGCCGAGGCAGGCAGATCGCTTGAGGTCAGGAGTTCGAGACCAGCCTGGCCAACATGGTAAAACCCTCATCTGTACTAAAAATACAAAAATTAGCTGGTTGTGGTGGTACATGCCTGTAGTCCCATCTACTCAGGAAGCTGAGGCAGGAGAATTGCTTGAACCCGGTAGGCGGAGATTGCAGTGGGCAGAGATTGCACCACTACACACTCAGGCTTGGGTGAGACTTCGCCTCAAAAAATAATAATAATATGGTTGCTCTAGGCTAAGATCTTTGGACTGTATTATTTCATAATATATGTAATGGGCTTGGGTTGAAGAATTTTAAGCAAAGAATAACTTGACCAGATTTATAATTTTTGTATTTGTAAAGATCACCCCAATGAGAGGGTAATCTGTGGATATGCATGCCTTTAGGAGACTTTTGCTGTACTCCAGTAGGACCAATGAAGGACTGTACTTAAACAATGGCTATAGGAAAGAAGAGAAGTGAATGGACCAAGAAATATTAAGGAGGTAGAAGTAATGGGATTCATTCATTGATTGCAATGAGAAAAGGATATATACTGTGGTACTCTATTACATCAGTATAAAGTCAGAGATCAAGATTGAAATACTGGTTTCTCTATCTACTACCTGTGTGACTCATCTGAAACTAGTAACACCTACTGCATAAGGCAGTTATAAAGACAAAATAATATAACACATGCAAAGCACATAGTACTGTGGGAAGTACAGAATTATAAGTCCATGTATTTAGAAATAGAATGGATAAAATCTCAAGGATAACTCTGAAATTTCTCACTGGGCATTCTATCAGGGGTATCATAGAGAAGATTAACACACTGAGCTTGATGAGAATTCACGATTCAATGGTTAGAAGCAAATATAATTTCTATGATAGATTTTTAAAAATTACAAAGCAGTTTTTTTTAATTGCTTTTAGTATCAATTAACTGCAGCAGACTCTCTAGTTGCTGATCTCACTCTGGGTGACCTGTCTTGCTTCCTTTGATGAATCGATCCTTGGGGAACTCTAGGGGAAGGCATTTGTTTCTGCAGCCTGATAGGCAATTCCTTGTTTCAATAGTGGCTAATCACTGTAGGCTCCATTTCCATCCTTAGGTCATGCCCTTGTCAGAGCATCCCGGCTGCTCCACAGCAGGCAGCACTTGGCTTTCCATTACATGTGTCCTGCAAACCTCTAGTAACCATGGTAATAATCATCAGAAGACACAGCCCCAAACCCATCCTGACCTATTGACCATCCATGGTGGAAACCACAATTCCTTCCTGTTTGAATGTTTTAAATTAGACAGCCATGAGATTTTCTTTCAGTCAAGGGACAATACCATGTGCCAATGACAACAGCGGCCTGATATCAATCAAAACAAGATATCAATGATAAGATGCTGTTCTAACACAATTCAGGTCAAAATGCAATCAGTCTTTTATCTGCAAAGGACAGCCAACATTTTTCAATGCCTGTGGTATTCTGGGATTTGGGATGTCTGCTTACTCTTTTTTAAAAAAATAATTGCATGAAGGAAATATTTCTAGTGTTTCTCTAAGAGGAATGTAAGAAATATTAAAAACTGAGGAGTGGCATTATAATTAAAATTAAAATTAATGGATTTTATAATTCTTCTCCCTAAGTTTAAAAAGAAGAAAACTGAGGCACCAAAAAAGGGGGAGGAGTACTTACCCAGGACAGCACATCTTTAAGGGATCACAATACTGAGACTTATAGAATGGTGGTTACCATGGATTTGGGTTGGTAGGGCAGGGGCAGTGGTGAGTGTTGTGTTGGGAAGATGTTGGTCAAAGGATTCAAAATTTCACTTAGAGAAATAAGTTGAAGAGATCTATTGTACAACATGATGACTATAGTTAATAACAATGTATTATATATTGAAAAATGCCAAGAGAATAGATTTTGAGTGTTCTTGTCACAAAAAATGACAGGTATGTGGAGCAATACATATATTAATTAGCTCGATTTAGTGATTCCACAATATATGCGTATTTTAAAACATCATGTTTTACTTCATAAATATATACAATTTTGTTAATTAAAATAATTGAAAATAATTATATCATTCATTATTTAGTTATACTGCATTTGTTGATTCATTCATGCATCACACTTAAAACGGCACTCTGTATGTGGGTGTCTACACTTCTTTAAAGGGGATGCCTGTGTTTACATGTGACACTGTATGAGATGGTGCATGGGCCATGGGATAAATATAGCTCATCTCCATAGACTGTCAATTTTATTAAAATATATCTATGGGGAAATAAAACAACTAACCCGAATATAATATGGATTGCAATGCAAAATTCACATGAAAGAGAAAAAAAAGACAATTTGAAACAACTGTCTGTTTTTGGCAGCCCTGGTTAGTCTTTTATACCAAGACCTCCAAGATTATTTATCTCCCTTTGATTGTCATTAGCAACACAAATTTGAGAAGAAAAATTGGAGAAACTCTATGCCAAGAATAAAACCAGCATATAGGCCAGTCGCGGTGGCTCACACTTGTAATCCCAGCACTTTGGGAGGCTGAGGCGGAAGGATCACCTGAGATCTGGAGATCAAGACCAGTCGGGCCAACAGGATGAAACCCGTCTCTACTAAAAATACAAAAATTAGCCAGGAGTGATGGTATGTGCTGTTCAGGAGGCTGAGGCAGGAGAATCATTTGAACCTGGGAGGCTGAGGTTGCAATGAGCCGAGATCACACCACTACACTCCAGCCTAGGTGACAGAGCAAGACTCTGTCTCAAAAAAAAAAAAAAAAAAAAGACAGCATATAATACAGCATATACAATATAATCTCTGACTTGATTATAATATGAATTTTACATAACACATGTAGACAGATATAGGATTTAAATATATAAAAAGATCTGATAGCAAAAAAGAGACTCAGTTGCAAGTTGAAATACACCAAAAATGTTTACAGTAGTTGTCTTTTTTTGTTGTATGATTAAAAGTGTTTGTTTTATTCTTGATGTCTTTTTTGCACATATAATTTTTCTTAAGTATATGTAGATGGCATTTTTAAATTAAATCTTAACATGTTTATTATTTTTGAATGAAGAAAATATATACAAACCCACTCTATTATTAATCACCATAGAAAGACTAATTTCAAATTTAATAAAGTAGTAATTTTGGTTATGTTAAATCATAAAAAAAATTAGCATTAGATTATATGAGATTTCTTGGGTTTATTAACAGTCTTCCTCTGGGATAAATTATTTAACTTTCTAGAATTGGTAGAAGTTTAAAGAATGGAAAAACTTATAATTTCTTTTTCTTAGTTGTGTGGATATATTAAATCCTACAGCTGAAAACTACATCTTCTCCCCACATGGAAAATATTTAAGAAATAATACCTCAGTTTCCCTAGATTCAAATGGAGATATTAAAAGTCCCACAGATTTATTCATTATTAACTATGAAAGTACTTTAACATGTGATTTGCACCCTCCTTTTGAAAAGCAGCTTTAGTTTTATTTGCAGGCCATACTCATCAGTGTTAAAAAAGAAAGAACATTTCAGTAAATACCAAGTAACTATAGCATCAGTCTAAAACGTGCTATCAGAGTGCTTTAGTACATTATAGAAAGTAGGGCTCTTTTGAGCCTCCGGTTCTGCATCTGTGGTCCAACAAGACTGTGGAGGATTTAAATTCCTCTCTGTGCATTGCAGGATACCTCTGGAGACGAATGATCTGGCAATGTGTGGAGTCCAGCAGGCAATCACTGTAACGCGTGAACTGCAGTGCAGGCTTGTGAAGTATCAAAAAGTCTTTTTCACAAAACTTCTCTGAGCCAGCCTAAAAATTGAAGGTACTCTTTCAATGCTGTCTCTTCAAATATAAAAATTATGTAAATCATAAATATAAAGCGTCTTACAGGCCGGGCATAGTGGCTCACGCCTGTAATCCCAGCACTTTGGGAGGCCGAGGTGGGTGAATCACTCTCTCAGGCCAGGAGTTCAAGACCAGCCTGGCCAACATGGCGAAACCCCTACAAAAAAAAATTAGCCGGGCATGGGGGCGGGTGCCTGTAATCCCAGCTACTCAGGAGGCTGAGGCAGGAGAATCGCTTGAACCTGGGAGGCAGAGGCTGCAGTGAGCTGAGATCGTGCCATTGCACTCCAACCTGGGCAACAAGAGCGAAACTCCGTGTCAAAAAAAAGAAAAAAAATTGTCTTACAATATGTTTGAATACAGTGGAGATAAAACACTTTAAGGCTGACAATCAAGCGGCTTGGATCCTGAGCTCAAGTTTGCCACATTACATGACCTTGAATAAAGTTATTTGACCTTCGAATATCTCATTTGCATCATCAATAAAATTAGGCTAATAACACTGCTTTTTGCTACCTCACAAGGCTGCTGAAAGTCTCAAATGACTGGAAATATAGCTTGAAAAGGATAAGAGAACAATTAAAATAAGGTCATGTGACTTTTTAATCTTCAAATATCAAATTACTTATAGACTCTTTTCATGTTTGAAATAAGAAAGTGCTTTTTTTAAAAAACGTGATTTTTAAAAATCCACAACATCTCTTAAAGAGAACAAAACAATAGAATAACTTTTTTACATTGGACAACTTTTTTGGGTTTTGTTTTTGTTTACTGTCAGACAGCTGTGTCAAACGAAATATTTCAACTCCATGATAAACTTCAAAATAGAAGTTGAATATTTGCTTTTTTGTTAATATGTACATAGGGCTGGTAAGTCTAGATAGCCATCTGTCCCCAGACCCCAGGAAGAATGATACCACTGAAAAGTCCTTAGCATGGAATTCAAAACCAGCAGACTTGGTTCATTTTAGTCTTATGAGGTTGGCTATTTACATATCAAGACCTTCCTCTGCATTTCCTCCTAAACCTGCTCCCCCACAGAACTGTAGATTCCTTGGGAGAAGAGAAAGTATCTTATTCATCTTTCGACCCCTCCCTGTTTTATAATATAGAACTTTGCAAATTGTAGATACAAATAGTAGCTTGCGAAGTGAATGCATAATTACCATTTCTCTGCTTGTAGCTGTATTGAGAACTAGCATTTGCTGGGCATGTGTTAAGTGCTTTGTCACTGTGCTAATTACTTTACAGACAAGTCTCCCTGAACCTCCAGGGAGATGTTACTAGCAAAACTTAGGATCTAGTAAGCGTGAAATAAATATTAACTGTAATTAAGATAATGATCATTCTTATTACGCCCCTTTAAGAGATGAAGAAACTAGTTTCAGGGAGGCAAAGCTGGCCAAGGTCACAGGTTCACAGTTAATAGTGAAGCAAAGTGAGGACTTAAAAGCAGACCTATGTGGTGTCAGACCTTGTATTTAGCCATTTGACCCTACTGCCTGCCCACAGGAGATGAGGTTATGAGTGGAATATTGCTCCAGGACAGAGGTACCACCTTCGTCTGTTACGACAAAATTGCCCATCCCTCTCTGTGGCTTGGCAGACTTTCCAAAGAGTCTATGAATTGTGGGGAGGTTTTACTAACGGTGTGTCTCCTCCATGGGACCCAGTTTGGGACTGCTGTCTTCTCATTCTGCTGCTCTCACTTACTGGGCTTCACAATATGTGCTTTGGGATTTCTCGCTGCAAGCAGATTGAATTTCTGTATAAGTAGGTGGTGATACTCATCAGTTTATGTGCTATGATATTCCTTTGTATCATTGAAGAGAGTCTCAGTCTTTCTTATTTCATGAAGTATTAATTATATTCTTTATAAAATGAATATTATGTTTATTTTAGAGAGCTTATTAAGACAGAAAAGCAACAAGGAGAATCAATACTCATCCATAACCACACTACTGACTGCTGTCTACAAATTAGTAGATGTCCTTTTCTATGTATAATATGATGTGTCAATGTATATAAATGTGTAAGTTTTGTGTATATACAAACCATACACACAATGGTGTCATATCTAAAAAACATACATGTTAGGTAATTCTTTTTTTGACTAAATAATACATTTTGGGCCTCTTTCCATTACATAAAATATGATTTAAAATTATCATGTAAGTAGTTAAATAATAATGCTTTGTTTAAATATGTAGTTTATTTAAGACATCCTCTATTAAATTTATTTTTAATTATAAACACAATGCTGCAAGGAATATCATTGTAGCTGAATATTTATCCACATCATTAATGATTTCCTTAAAATGACTTCTAGATTTTGTCTCATCCAATTTTCTAGTTTTACACAGAGGGAAAGGTTATACATTTGTTTTAATCTGTAGTTGAGTATACACAGTTGAGTACACACAGCTAAGACATGTAGTGGCTTGGATTTTAACTTCCAATCTGTGTGCCTTAAAGTCCCTACACTTCCCAATATACCATATGGTACACTTCCCAGAATACTGGTCAAAAAACTATGTACAATTTACACGCCCAAATTGTACAAGGGGATTTTTAAAGGAGAAGTAGGAGTACTTATCTCAGGGAAATTGTCATTTTGATGATGTGTTTATATCTCAGAATGATAGTTGCACTTAAATGTTTAATTTTCAAAATGCTAGGGGGAGCTTGACACGCAGTCTCTAAACTGCAGAGGTCTAACCATGAAGTATATTGGCCTTTCTAATGGGCTCGGCAAATTTAGGGGGAAGAAAAATGCATCTATTGATTTGGCTCAGCTGTCTCAATTTGGGAGCTGTCCCAGTAATCTCATTACTAGGGTATGTATGCTTTTATTCCCTCAGCAACAGAATTAAGTCTATATATAGAGCCAGCAGCTGCATTCTCAGCAAGACCTCAAGGTATCGAATGCCCTCCGGAGCTCTCCACTACTCATTTTCATTAACACAAGGCACTGATGACAAATATCTTTTTCTTGACCCACACGTTATTTTCAGTCCAAAGATCTATTTTTCTCCTTTGCATATCTTTGTCTAAACTAGCACAGATTTTTTTAAAAATCATTTCCAGATTCAGGCCTTACATGCTTTGATTTTGGTAGAGATTTAAATATATTCAAGCACATCTTTCTTTTTACCTGACTCATGAAATCACCAGATTGGCCCTCAGAAGATTTTATGGATTGAATACAAAGAAAACTGTAATTACTAATAAATAAATAAATAAATAATAAAAATACAAAATGTATAGTATGTTTAATTGTCCTTTCCATCACAGAAATTAATTTTTAAATGACCACAAAAATGTTTTTGCTCACCAATAAAACCTTTTTTTATGCTATTCCTTGATATTTTTCTCTTTTCTGCAAGAAAAAATATGCTTATGTGCAGAAAGTCTGGCTTGCTCAAGTCTGCATTTCACCCTCACTTGCCATATGCAATGCATAAATTTATAATGTGTTAAGCTTCGAGAACAGCTGACGACAAATTTCAGCTTTCCGACCTGGGTTTAATTCCACCTAGACGCTCTGTCCCCTTATATCAGCTGTGTGTGTTGTGAAATGCTTTTATGACGAATCAAATATCTTCTGCTGCAAAGATTTCAAGGGCTTTTAGTGAAAATGAAAACCTGTGTTAATAAGAACTTGAGAAGTGCTAACGAATCGTGTTTGTCTCAATGCCACTTTTTTTTTTCTGTCTTATCCTTGAAAGGTCATGAGCTTTCAGAGTGGAGGTTTCCTCCATGACCAAATTCTATGACATTTACATGAAATGTTGGGTTATAAAATACCTGTTTAAACACTAATATTAGTCCTCACACTATTATCTTTTGCTTTCTATTGTCCCAAGCAGAAACACTGTTTAATTTATTTCCATGTGCTCGATGCAAAATCTCTTTTTAGTAGCAAGAGATTAAATATAAATCTCTTGCTACTAAAAATTAGGCCAATTTAAAGGAGGAAGAGATTATCTGATTCAATGTCATTGTATTAAAAAAAAGGGAAGTTAATGCCACACAACCCGATCATAACAGAGCTGAGGCTAAAGTCTAGGGATTTTAAGTATCTTCCTTAATAATGCACAGGATATCCTTGATCTTTCTTAAATACTAAAGTATAAATAGAAAATCCATTTGCCTATTTAAATTATCTTGTTTTTTTTTTTAATTTTTTTTGAAAAGCAGACTGAGAAGATCACAATTAGTAGCCCAGCAAAGAAAGTGTTTTGCTTATTTGGTTGAAAATCTTTTACTTCTAACTGGGTGATACTCTGGAAAAGGTAAAAACCATAGAGCTAATAAAAAGATCAGTGGTTGCCAGGGGTTGGTAGAGAGAGACGGATGAATAGACATAGCACAGAAGATTTTTAGGGTACTGAATCTATTCTGCGTGATACTGTAATGGTGAGTATATGTCTTATCCATTTGTCCAAATCCATAGAATGTACAATACCCAGAGTAAACCCAAATATAAGCAATGGTCTTTATGTGACGATGTGTCAGTATAGGTCATCAATTGTCACAAATGCACCACTCTGGTGGGGAATGTTCATGGTGGGGAGGCTGTGCCTGTGTAGGGGCAGGAGTAGATGAAAACTCTCTGTACCTTCTGCTCAATTTTTCTGCTAACCTAAAACTACTCTTTAAAACATCTTTTAAAAATATCTTACAAACTAATATGTCAAATCAAATTAAAATTAGATACCTGTAAATCCAAATAAAAAGAAAGATTTAAGCTGATTCTAAACAATACACCATCATGGGTTTGAGAGTTTGAAATAATGACAGAGATGGTCAGCAGTTCACTAAGATACCTAAAAAAACTTTTATAACAGAAACTTAAGGGGACTTCCTGGCCGGCCCTGGTGGCTCACACCTGTAATCCCAACACTTTGGGAGGCGGAAGCGGGCGGATCACCTGAGGTCAGGAGCTTGAGACCAGCCTGAACACCATGGAGAAACCCTGTCTCTACTAAAAATACAAAAAATTAGCTGGGCATGGTGGTGCATGCCTGTAATCCCAGCTACTCAGCAGGCTGAGGTAGGAGAATCGCTTGAACTCGGGAGGCGGAGTTTGCAGTGTGCTGAGATTACACCATTGCATTCCAGCCTGAGCAACAAGAGTGAAAGTCCATCTCAAAAAAAGGGACTTCCTAAAATGATGGCATCTAGAATAAAAACATCTCAGTCTCTCTTTTAAAGATATATTGAAATGATCAGAGGATAAAAAATATTAGGAGAAAATATGTATCAGCACTGGAAACTAAAACATGCTGTCCACATACTCTAAGACATAAAGGTGTTTTCTCCTAAATTCAGTATAAATAGGAATATGCTAAGTAGAGACACACCAAGGGCCAACTCACAACTGCTCCCCTCAGAAAAGTATTATAATTCCAAATACATTCACAAAAGACATACTAGCAGAACACAGAAAACAAATCCCAAATTGCAAGGGCAAAGGTAAGATACTAATATATAGCAGAATATTCTGACCCAACTGTGCTAGGAGACCCCAGGGAGAGGTTTGCTACAGCAAAATATGAAAACGGACCCTTATTTCTACAAGAAGATAGTTGTACCATGGTAACACACAAAAATGCGTTTTTGCTATGTGACCTGAAGCTAGGTAAGTATTATTTTTGTGCCTTTCATTTTCTCAAAGATAGAAATGATAATAAAGATACTGATTTCACAGGTTTGTGGAAAGGAAGAAATGAAACCATATAGGCAAAGTGTTAATCAAGGTGCATAGTTTTAAATCAACACACAGTATGTGGTAGCCACTATAATAATTGTCGTTGTCGTCATCGTCATCATCATCGTCATCTTCACAGTGTTTATCACCTTCAGAGGCATGGACTTTGCATTTTGACAGTAGTAAAAGGAAAAAAGCTGGAGGAGCTTTCCTATGCAGAGATAGCACCGAACAGAAAATTAGCTTCAGAAAGCTTGCCCCTAGTGATAGATTTCTGCAACAACGTGGTATGGAAACTAAAAGTCCCTCATGCTTTAACTGAAATTAAGTGCCTCATCACTAGTCTCAGAATTTTGGGATCAAAGAAACAGTGACATAAATACAAATCAACAAGTCCTTCAATTTGAGATCTGAGAAAGTATTTGAAAAGTGCGTAAGAAGGGGCTGTCTCTTAGAACACAATACCAAAATAGAATTATCCTCATCCTATCTAAATATCAAAGAACACAAATACAAAACCAATACAAAGCCTGCAATAAGCTGAATAATGTCCATCCAAAGATGCATACATCCTAATCTCAGAATTGTTAAATATGTTGTTGCCTTATATGGTAAAAGATAACAATGGATATGATTAAGTTCAGGATCCTGAGATAGGAAGGTTATCATGGATTATTAAGGCAGACCCAATGGAATCAGGAGGAATCCTTATACAAGAAAGGCAGGAGGATTAGCATTACCAGCAAGAGATGTGACAACAGAATCAAGAAGTTGGAAGTGGTCACTAGGCAAGGAACACAAGATGGTCTCTAGAAATGGTAAAGAAATGGATTGTTTCCTCTGAATTTCCATAAGGAACCAGCCCTTTAAAAATGGTTATTTGAAAAGATAAATACAATTGATAGACCATTAGCAACATTACCCAAGCAAAGAAGAGAGAAGATCCGAATAAACTGAATTGGAATGAAATGGGAGATATTACAACTGACACCACAGAAATACAAAGATCATTCAAAGCTACTGTGAACACCTTTACATGCATAAACTAGAAAACCTAGAGGAGATGGATAAATTCCTGGAAAGATACATCCCTCCCTAGCTTAAATGAGGAAGAATTGGAAACCCTGAACAGACCAATAAGAAGCGGTGAGATTGGAATTGTAATAAAAAAATTACCAACAAAAAAAGTCCAGGACCAGATGGATTCGGTAGCTGAATTCTATCAGACATTCAAAGAAGAATTGGTACCAATCCTATTGACACTATTCCACAAGATAGAGAAAGAGGGAATTCTCCCTAAATCATTCTATGAAGCCAGTATCACCCTAATACGAAAACCAAGAAGGACATAACAAAAAAAGGAAACTACAGACCAATATCCCTGATTAACATAGATGCAAAAATCCTTAACAAAATACTACCTAACAAAATCCAACAACATACCAAAATATAATCCACCATGATCAAGCGAGTTTCATACCAGGATGCAGGGATGGTTCAACATATGCAAGCCAATAAATGTGATACACCACAAAAACAGAATTAAAAACAAAAATCACATGATAATCTCAATAGATGCAGAAAAAGCATTTGACAAAATCTAGCATCGCTTCATGATTAAAAACCTCACCAAAATTGGCATACAAGGGACATACCTCAATGTAGTAAAAGCCATCTATGACAAACTCACAACCAACATAATACCGAATGGGGAAAAGTTGAAAGCATTCCCTCTGAGGACTGGAACAAGACAAGGATGCCCACTCTCACCACTTCTATTCAACATAGTACTGGAAGTCCTAGCCAGAGCAATCAGCCAAGAGAAAGAAATAAAGGGCATCCAAATCAGTAAAAAGGAAGTCAAAGTGTCACTGTTTGCTGACAATATGATTGTTTACCTAGAAAGCCCTAAAGTCTCCTCCAGAAAGTTCCTAGAACTGATAAATGAATTCAGCAAAGCTTCAGGATATGAAATTAATGTACATAAACCAGTAGCTCTGCTACACACTAACAGCAACCACGCTGAGAATCAAATCAAGAATTCAACCTTTTTACAATAGCTGCAAAAAAAAAAAGAAATACTTAGGAATATACCTAATCAAGGAGGTGAAAGACCTCTACAAGAAAAACTACAAAACACTGCTGAAAGAAATCATAGATGACACAAACAAATGGAAACACATTCTATGCTCATGGATAGGTAGAATCGATATTGTGAAAATGACCACACTGCCAAAAGCAATCTACAAATTCAGTGCAATTCCCATCAAAAAACCACCATCATGTATCACAGAACTAGAAAAAACAATCCTAAAATTCACATGGAACCATAAAAGAGCCTGCATAGCCAAAGCAAGACTTTTTGGTTAAAAGTCTTTTTGGTTAAAAGAGCAAATCTGGAGGCATTACATGATTTCAAACTATACTATAAGGCCATAGTCACCAAAACTGCATGCTACTGGTACAAAAATAGGCACATAGACCAATGGGACAGAATAGAGCACCCATAAATAAACCCAAATACTTACAGCCAACTGATTTTTGACAAAGCAAACAAAAGCATAAAATGGAGAAAGGACACCCTATTCAACACATGGTGTTGGGATAACTGGTAAGCCACATGTGAGAGAATGAAACTGGATCCTCATCTCTCACCTTATACAAAAATCAACTCAAGATGGATCAAGGACTTAGATCTAAGACCTGAAACTATAAAAATTCTAGAAGATAACATCAGAAAAACCCTTCTAGACATTGGCTTAGGCAAAGACTTCATGACCAAGAATCCAAAAGCAGATGCAACAAAAACAAAAATAGGTAGGACTTAATTAAACTAAAGAGCTTCTGCACAGCATAAGGAAAAGTCAGCAGAGTAAACAGACCCACAGAATGCAAGAAAATCTTCATAATCTATACATCCAACAATGGACTAATATTTAGAATCTGCAAGGAACTCAAACAAATTAGCAAGAAAAAGCAATCCCATCAAAAAGTGGGCTAAAGACGTAAATAGGCAATTCTCAAAAGAAGATATACGAAAGGCCAACAAACATATTTAAAAATGCTCAACATCACTAATGATCAGGGAAATGCAAATCAAAACTACAATGTGATACCGCTTTACTCCCTCAAGAATGACTATAAAAAAAACCCAAAAAATAATAGATGCTGGCATCTATATGTAGAAGGGAACACTTCTACACTGCTGGTGGGAATGCAAATTAGTACAACCACATGGAAAACAGTGTGGAGATTCCTTAAAGAACTAAAAGTAGAATTACCATTTGATCCAGTAATCCCACTACCCAGAGGGAAAAAAAAGTATCTACCCAGAGGAAAAAAAAGTCATTATACAAAAAAGATACTTGCACACGCATGTTTATAGCAGTACAATTTGCAACTGCAAAAATATAGAGCCGGCCCAAATGCCCATCAATCAATGAGTGGATAAGAAATCTGTGGTGTATACATATATACAATGGAATACTACTCAGCCATAAAAGGAAATGAATTAATGGTGTTCACAGCCCGAATGAAATTAGAGACTATTATTCTAAGTGAAGTATCTCAGGAATGGAAAACAAACATCGTATGTTCTCACTCATAAGTGGGAGCTAAGCTATGAGGATGCAAAGGCATAAGATTGATAAAATGGACTTTGGGGACTCAGGAGAAAGGGTGGGAAGGGGTTGAGGGATAAAAGACTACAAATTGGGTTCAGTGTATACTGCTTTGGTGATGGGTGCACTAAAATCTCATAAATCACCACTAAAGAACTCAGTCATGTAACCAAATACCACCTGTTCCCCAAAAACCTAAGGAAATAAAACATTTAAAAATAAACAAAATACATGACACAAAAAAATTACTGAAATAATGATAAAAGAGACAAATTCACATACTCTCTTAATAGTTGATCTAACAAAAAGACAAAAACCTAGTAGGGAGTAAGCATAGAAGATCTAAACAACAAAATTTAAAATTTGATATCATGGACATATTACCGTATCCCATAATGACAGAATTTAGATTGTTTTAAAGTTCAGACAGAATGCTTACTAAAATTTAATAAATTCTGGGCCATGGGAGAATTGAAAGGTTAGCAAATGATCACATAAAAAAATACAAAATATAGAGTAGTCATCATGTCCCATCTGGCTGATGCACCAAGCAGCCAGCAAGGTCAAGGTCTTTAATTCTTCTCCCACCACCACTCACACCAGAGGAATTAGTTGTCCTTATCTCCTCTAATCCAGCCTCACGTATTTTATCAGGGAATACTCAACATGCTGTTTAAGAGGAAGACGTTAGTTACATTGAATTTGGAAAATGTATACACTCATGTGTTAAAGTGAAAACTTTCTTCACAGCATAATCTTCCACTTTAGAAGACAAGACCATAGCAAAAGATAAAAGCACAAACTGTGGACCTACTCTATTACTATTTATACGAATACTTCAATAAACATGAAAAAGATTCAGGATAAATTGGAAAACAGATGAGACATTAGAACAATTGTGAATTAAGACTTTCAAAGATCAACCAGGACATATGGTCATGCCAATCTTGCCCCACCCTAAAAAGCAGTGGATTTTTTTTTCAGCTTGCTTATTTACCAATAAAGAGAAGCAGATGTATTGATTGCCTTTATCACTGTTCTCCTCCCACCATGCATAATGGGCAAATTCTCTTTTCAGTTTAACAGCTGGGGACAGGATGACAGGCACAGCTCTCAGCTAATTTCCTCTTCTGAGTCTTGCTTCTTGATTCTCATTATTTCAAGCTAGAATAGTCTGCATATGTAAGGCTGAATTCCCAAATATCATTCATAGAGTACATTAGAGATTTAATTGAAGAAACTAAATCTCCTAAGATGCTATCAGTCTTTATTCCCTCCTTAAATGCAAGTTTTCTAGGTGCCCCAAATACATATCTTCCTTTATGAAAGAAAGGACAAAAATAACCTGGATTTTGAAAAGCAGCACCCATACCACAGAGGGACCATTTTCTGGCAGTAACAGATTTGGGATGTTTAAGTGTGTATGGCAGAGGGGAATTGATTGCAACTATTATAACCATTATGATTATGGGTATTACACTGCAACTCTTTTCTAAATAGTTTTAATACTCTTACTTGGCATAGATGTTTTCATTGACCTGGTTCAGTTTGCTTCCCCTTAATTCCTTATAGATGCTGGTAGGCTATCTGCAAGGCTTAAGTATAGGTTCTTCTGTGGTTTCATGTATTTTTGCCTCCATGGGTATTTTACTGAGAAATTGGGGAAGATTAACCAGAGGTTCATAGCTGGATTCCATTATAAAGTGGAGGTGCCTGAATCAATGATTTTTAATCAACGGTCATGAGCAATGTGCACTAAAGCTGATTAGAACTCATTAAAATGCCGTTTCTTTAAATATAGTATTTCTGCTTTACTCTGTACCTCTATTGTAGTGTCACAGGCCATCAGATATGCTGAAAGATCACTCTAGTTTCCAGAATTAAGACTGACACCACTTAACTACAATTCACCAAGACAATGGTTTACAAACAATTTTGGCTCTCCCCGCTCCACACCAAGAGAAAATATCTTATATTTCGCAATACATTTGACTAATTGCAAAAATAATTTTAAAACTTGATTTAATCAAAGGCTCTGAAAAATATAATTCACAGTAGTTTTACTCTTGTTCCCACATAGAAAACAGAGTTAAAGTTAGTTCTATTTTTTCTTTCTTTGGTTTTGAGACAGGGTGTCACTCTGTCACCCAGGCCAGAGTGCAGTGGCATAATTATAGCTCACTATAACTTTGAACTCCTGGACTGAAGGGATCTCCTCATCACAGCCTCCTGAGTAGCTGGGATTACAAGCACAGACCACCATGCCTGACTAATTTTTTAGTTTTTGGTAGAGACAAGGTCACATGTTGCCCAGGCTGGTCTTGAACTCCTGGCTTCAGGCAATCCTCCCATCTTGGCCTCCCAAAGTACTGGGACTACAGGTGTGAGTCACAGCATCCAGCCTATTTCTTCTTTTTTAATTGTTCGTTTCTTCTGAGAATTTTCCTTCACCAACCTAAGCCCTATCAATATTTAATAGGTCCCATTTTAATCATGTGAAAACACAAGACTCATATATACATTGAATCTATTTACTAAAATTTACACAAATTTAATTAAAACAGAAAATTTTTACACCCTCTGTATTAACAGATTCTATCTTATGACTCTATCAATGTATAGAATTATTTAAATTCACTTCCTCCGTGTCATAAAATGTGAGTCATAAGCCATCTCTCTAACACAGAATACATTACTAGAGACATGACATTTTCTGTTCTCATGTGTGCTGGAATGGGTAAAATTCCATTTTATAGTTGAGGGAATAGGTGATAGTCATCTTTTTTCTTTTTTATTCACCCACTGAATTTTCTCAAAATTTTTAAAAAGATACACCCACTCATTTTAATAGGCCTTTGGAAGGGTAGTGCGAGGGGCCTTGGTCTGATAGAAGGAAGGAAAGTACATAACAAAAATAGAGGCATTCCTTTTGAGCATATCGCCCTTTCTCAAAAAATTGCAGATTTTTACTTGGTTCTTTCTCTTTCTTTTCTTTTTCTTCCTTTCTTTCCTCCTTTCTTATCCTTTTAAATAATTAGGATCTTGCTCTGTTGCCTAAGCTGGAGTGCAGTGGCACAATCATAGCTCCCTGCAGCCTCAAACTACTGGACTCAAGCGATCCTCTGACCTCTCAAAGCCTCTCAAAGGGCTGGGATTACAGGATTCAGCCACCATGCCCAGCCTAAAACCACTTTTGGTCACTTAAATAACAAATAAATTTTGTAAGTGATATCATTGAAATCATTACCAATCTAATGAATTTTTCTTTCATGTGTGTTTCTCTGAAACAGAGGAAAACTTTTAATGTTATTCTGTGTATACAATTATTTGTAGCATATTTGTTGAGTACTTAATAAACGTTAGTACTGTGGGCTGAAAATCCACACAGATACGGTCTCATTTTTTTCCATAAAATCTCTCTGTAAAGTAGGAACTTTACTTTTTTGTTTTACAGGGAAAGAAACAGACTCGGAGAACCTTGATAATTTGCACAGGGTCATCCAGCTATTGAATGACAGAGCTAGAACCATTCTTCCTAAGGTGGTCTGATGCTATTAATGTCAGAAACCCATAATTTCCCAGCCAGTTAAAAAATATATAGATGTTTAGCGCCTCCATGCTGCCTGGTGCTCTGCGTCAGAGTCTAGAAAACATCAGTTTTCTATCTGTAAGTTTTCTAATTACTTGCTTTATTATACAATGATCTACCATATCAATTCTACTTAGGTTGTTTTATTTTTTATCTTCAGCAATTTCCACTAGTTCAGGCAAATTGATGGATTTCAAGAATAATGAGTCTTGACATTGCTTTTTTTCTCCGGTGATCTTTTTTTTTTTTTTTTTTTTTTTTTTTTTTGAGACGGAGTCTCGCTCTGTGGCACAGGCTGGAGTGCAGTGGCGCGATCTCAGCTCACTGCAAGCTCCGCCTTCCGGGTTCACGCCATTCTCCTGCCTCAGCCTCCCAAGTAGCTGGGACTATAGGCGCCCGCCATCACGCCCGGCTAATTTTTTTGTATTTTTAGTAGAGACGGGGTTTCACCATGTTAGCCAGGATGGTCTCGATCTCCTGACCTCGTGATCCGCCCGTCTCGGCCTCCCATAGTGCTGGGATTACAGGCGTGAGCTACCGTGCCTGGCCGATCCTCTCATTTTTAAAGCTTGCTGATATTCTCTGCACATGTGCCTTTACAAAAACAGCTTCTCTGACTGGTATGAAACAGGATTTTGCAGACCTCTTCAACTTTGAAAAATAACATCTCACAGCTGAAAGGTTTGCTTCTGTTAGACGACATTTACTTTTTGTAGGCTTTTGTTTCTTCTTATAAAGTAACCTCTTTCCTGCCTCTTGATGAAGGTTTTGGCAGGTTCCTGACTCACATCCATTTTCATGTGACTTATCTTTATTCAACATGTCTGTGATGTGTCAGTGACTAATCAAAGCACTAGGGATATATTAGCAGCAACATAAATGACTGCTTGCCTTCAGGGAGCTTACATTTCTAGTGGGGGAAACAGACAATAAAAGTGATAACTCAGTAAATTCGATAGTAGAAAAGAAAATGATAAGTATGAAGAAGCAAAAAAAAAAAAAAAAAAAAAAAAAAGCAAGAAAAGGATGTCCAAAGGGGGTGAAAATTTAGATAGTACAGCCAGGGGAGACCTGAATCAAGTGATTTGGGACCTGGAAGAACAGAGAGATTTGGGATTTGAGATAGGTTTGAATTGGTACAGTTTATTTCATCATTCAATGGATCAACAGCATGCAGCAGCCAATAGTTGAAAACCTGAAACATTGTAAACTTAAGTGTCCTAACGGAGATCAAATCCACAACCTTGGTCTTACATGTTCTGTAGTTTAACAGAACTCACCTGCCAGGGATGGCCAGGAGACTGGCTCCATTGTGTCTTTATTAGTATCTTAAGGCTATTTTATCTGTGACTCGGGTAGAACCAATGAGTATTTTATTAAGCCCAAAAATTTATTCTAGTAGTCTTGATTTAACTGTTCATTAACTGCCCCCGAAGTATTCCAATTCTTCCCTAAATGTTAGTTTAAAGTGTAATGACTCCAGCAAATATGAGTCAGGATCTTTCACTTTACACATTATCTTTTTTTTTTTTTTTTTTTTTTTTGAGAGACAGAGTCTTGCTCTGTCACCCAGGCTGGAGTACGATGGCACAGTCTCAGCTCACTGCAACCTCCACCTCCTGGGTTCAAGCTATCCTCCTGCCTCAGCTTCCTAAGTAGCTGGGACTACAGGCGTGCACCACCACACCCAGCTAATTTTTATATTTTTCGGTAGAGATGGGGTTTCACTATATGTTGGCCAGCTGGTCTCGAACTCCTGACCTCAGGTGATCCGCCTGCCTCGGCCTCCCAAAGTGCTGGAATTACAGGTGTGAGCTACCGTGCCAGCCACATTATCTTACATAATCCTCACAATTCCTCCCTCAGATTTATATTATGTTCTTGTTACCAATGAGGACAAAAAGGCTCAGATAGATTAAGGAACTTCCCTAAATTAAAGTGATAATAAAGTGCTCAGAGGAATTCACACACAGATATTGTCTTAACTCTAGAGTCTGTGTTCTTAAATGCCAGGTTTATTCATTGAAGTGGATGCATCAGACATGAAAGAAACCTAAGAATGAATCTACTTCACAATGAGGCCCAGAGAGATGGAGTTATTTTTCCAATGACTCAAAGTCACAAGCAGTTTGGACTAGAAATCAGATGTACTAGTGCTTAGCCTAACCATCTTACTACTACGCCATGCAAAGATTTATTACTATAATATAAAGCTCCAGGAGAAATAAACAACCTGTCCCATGCCCCATTGTTTCTTGGCTGGAATGACCATGGCCTTCTGGTAAATATCCTATTCTTCTATTCTTTCTCCAAAATCCAAGGAGATGGTATCTCCTTTGCAAAGCCATCCTTGATACTTCCAGCTACTGTTACTCTCTCCATCCTCCATACATCTATTGTTGTCTTCTCATGCCATCTAAATCATACCATAATTTATAAATCACATGTCCTTATCTCCTTGAAGACTGAGCCTCTTGAAGGGAATCATGTCATTCTTTACAGTAGCCCCAGTGTCTACAGCAAATACTAAATATTTCTGGCAATGAATTTTTTTGTATTCCCATTTCCTTGAGCAAACTATGATTAATATGGCCTTTTAAGTTTTATATAAAGAGAACACAAATAGAACTTTAAAGAAAACATTTTGTTTACTGTTTTAATGCAATTTTTAATTCAATCATTTGTTAAATAGATAACTCAATGTTTAATTAACAACCAAAATATAAAATTATTTTCAAAGAGACACAAGTTCTTCCTTAAATTAATTTTTATAGGAGCTTTAGTACTCTACATTTCTTCGGAGGAGACACCCTTTCTTCAGCTTTCCTCACTATCCCTAGTAGGGCACCCACCACTGGAATTGTTCTGAGCAAAAACAGCTCAGCCTACCCAGGGGACAGAGATTCTCCTTCTGCATTGTCTGTCTATGTAGGTTTCTATTCCTTCCTGATACAATGTGAAATACTGGAAAAAGAATAAGATCTATGGTCAGAAAACTTGGTTTCAAGTTCCAAATCTTCCGTTTAATTTATAATGAATGTGTGTAAATCTCTCCAATATTTTTAGTTCACCAAAATGGGGATATCTGCTCCATCTAATATCTGACAAGGGAGTGAATATGAACTGAGTGATGTTTGTAAATGTGCTTAGTCAGCTAAGTACTACATTAGTCCTAGTTATTATTTGTCCAGAATTTTGCTTGGATGGATAGGATCTACCATTCTAATATCAGCATCAGTCTTTTCTGCTACTCCTAGAGAGAATAAAAACATATATGTAGCAGAAATCTTATTTTGTCTCAAACTTAGGGGAACTCCTCATATTATTTACCTTATTACGTACTGTCCAAATGATGATATGGAGAGAAATTACTCTTCATGAGCAGGTGGTGGATGACATAATAAACTTTGCAATGGTTGACTTAAATAAAAATTAGTAGTTTAAGTTGGTGGGGTCCTCCTCCACAGTCCTAGGTCTGTGTCTGTGTTATGTTAATTTGGTGAGTGCTATTAAAGTTTACTGATTCCTGATGAGGGTGTTGGAGGTGATTGGTTTGGAGACAGTTAATAAGCATGAATAGGAAACTCTTTCTTGACTAGCAGCACTATTAGTATTCCCCCATCCATCCCTTTTTCACCTATAGCACAATTGGCATAAAGATTCTTCAACTGGCTTCTCACCAAGACTAGTAAGAATAGAGCAATAGGCCGGGTGCGGTGGCTCACGCCTGTAATCCCAGCACTTTGGGAGGCCGAGACGGGTGGATCATGCGGTCAGGAAATCGAGACCATCCTGGCTAACACAGTGAAACCCCGTCTCTACTAAAAATACAAAAAAAATTAGCCGGATGTGGTGGCAGGCGCCTGTAGTCCCAGCTACTTGGGAGGCTGAGGTAGGAGAATGGCGTGAACCCGGGAGGTGGAGCTTGCAGTGAGCCGAGATCACGCCACTGCACTCCAGCCTGGGTGACAGAGCAAGACTCCATTTCAAAAAAAAAAAAAAAAAAAGTAGAGCAATTAACTCTGCATTGTGGTACCTTGTAAAAAGATAATGTCCCCAGATCAATGAAGTACTCTTTCTATAGGCAATCACAAGCACAGAAAATGTCACCTTGTGGTATCAGAGACTTCCTTGAAATTACTCTAAATAAGATTTAATTTTCACATGTTTTAGCTGCTAATACTGAAATAGAGATGAAGAGATGATTGAGATGTTTAGTGCAGATTTTTTTCTAAGGCACAGAGCTTTTAAAAAAATTATTCAATTTTCCAAATTGCACCCCGCCATTAAGAAATCCTTCCAGGATATGAAGATTGAGTTTTAGAGAATACTTAAAACCCAAAACAAATAAATCAAGACAGCTCATAAGAATTTCTTATGTCAGTGTAATTTACAAAGATAGATACTGCACTTTTTTCCTGAATGTCAACAGAATGGGAATTGCATTGAAAATTCTCCATCTACAATTCCCGAACCATGGACTTGGGAACATAGTGAAAAAGCTAATCTTTCTAATGACATCTTAATGAACCTTTTTCATATTTGGATGGCCAGGAGCAACCAGAAAAATCTGGTTGTGTCTTTATGTCACACTCAGCGCCTCTTCTCCTCCTCACTCCCTGCTTGAGAACTTCTGTTTTTATCCAGGTGTCTCAAGCAAGTTTTGGAAATTCAGTATTCCTTCAACCACTGATTAGTGATGGGACCTTATGAAATGTCAAAGAGCATTTATTTTGTGAAAGTAAGAATAACAATAAAGAGTAGTACAATTTAGTCAACATGTGTATACTCAGACACTATTATAATATTTAAGTTTCATTGATAAAAGGCCCTGCTAGAGGGGACAATATTCTTGTGGACACCAATAATTAGAAGAATTTGAAATGCTATGATGAATTACTGTGGTTGGCGAGACAAAGAGGAGCAACTTGCGTAAAGAAACAAGATGAACCAGCCAGGCGCAGTGGCTCAAGCCTGTAATCCCAGCACTCTGGGAGGCTGAGGCTGGCGGATCTCCTGAGGTCGGGAGTTTGAGACCAGCCTGACCAACAAGGAGAAACCCCATCTCTACTAAAACAACAACAACAACAACAACAAAAAACAACAAAAAAACGAAAACAAAAAATTTGCCAGGTATGGTGACACATGATGCCTGTAATCCCAGCTACTGGGGAGGCTGAGGCAGGAGAATCACTTGAACCTGGGAGGCACTCCAGCCTGGGCAACAAGAGCAAAACTCCATAAAAAAAAAAAAAAGAAACAAGATGAGAGAGAAGAGAACCAAATTTCACTTGCGTATTTGAGGCCACCTGAGGGATATAAGAACAGAGTTGAAGCTTAGATAAGAAAGTCAATATCTTAATAAAGATTGCATTATGCACATGTCCTCCTAGTAACCCATGACAGGATTATCTTGTCAATTTAGTTATAATTAAATACATAGATATTTAGACAGATAATAGATATCGAAATACTGATACATAATGCAGTAAAAACTGCACTCTATTGTGAAGTACCATATAGTTTGGTATTTCCATTTTAGGTCAAAGGCTATGCATAACTTTTCATAGTGGATAAAAAAAACTTTATTTCCTGGTGGGATGAATTTGAATTTGGTAAATTTTTATGGCGACTCCCGGTGGCATGTCTCTCCTTTCATCTTGCCATGTCCAAGGAAGAATAAGAAAAATGAAATTTTATTTCTGTTGTTATCAACTAATACACACTGAGAGCTTGCGGGTAGAGGCCATCACGTGCATTGTTTCATTTTATCCTCATAGTACCCTTGTGAGGTGGGAATTATCTCCTTCCTCCATCTTATGAATGAGTAAAGAGTTCAGACATGATAAATAATTCACTCTGAGAAAATGTTAGACTTTCAATTTGAACTAAAGTTTATCTACTAAGACTTATGCTTCTTGCCAAAATCACATACTGACTTTTTTTTATTCATTTAACTGGCATTTATTAAATTAGGTGTTGTAGGGAAAATTATATGGTCATAGTTAATTGCATGGGCTCCAGAGTCAGACAGTCTGGGCTAAAATTCTAGCTTTCTCATTTGTAAGCTTGTTAGCCTTGGGGAAGTTACTTATCTTCTCTAAACATTAATTGCCTCATCTATAAAATATGGTTTTTAAAATGGTGTCTATTTCAGAGAATTTGTTAGATAATTAAAGAAGATATTGCATACTAAATACTTAGCTCAGTGCCTAAATCACAGTAAACGTTCAGTAAATGATAGTTGCTCTAATTGTGATAAATATATCAGGGCCTCTGCCCTCAAGAACTATTGACTTAAGAAGGGAAGATTTGATATGCGCCAAGTGACTGCAATACATAATTTAAAATGACATTGTGAGAGGTGAAAGCACAAGTGGTAAGTCTGATCTAGTGAGATCATAGGCATCATTGTTGGGGAGGATACATTTTATCAGGGCCTTGAGGAATTGGCTTATGCAGACTCAGCAGAAGGGCATCCCATGGAGAGGCATGAACAAAATTGGAGGCAAGAAAATACAAGCCTTGGCTGATAAACAAAAGAGAACTGAGACTGACTCGAGCATGGGCTCTATGTAGGAGCTCAGTGGGAGACAAAACTAGGAAAATATATCAGAGGCTGCAATGCAATGCTAAGAAATCTGGTCTTTATTAGGTGATAATATAGAAGACTTTTAACAGGAGTTAGAGAAATATGCCTGACCTCTTAAGATGCAGATGTAAAGTGTAGTAATAACTGAGAATGTTAAATAAAATAATCAGATCAGCCAATTAAGGAGACTATATGGAAGTCAAAATGAACAATAATGAGACTTAAGCGAAATAGAGCAGTGGGGAGTTATTGCAGAGAAACAAACTATCTCTGAGGGGGATAAACACATAAAATGGACGGTAGTTGTCAAACTGGGCACAAGAGACAAGGGAGAGGAAATAATTTAAAAAATGACTCTGAAAGTTCAAGTCCGACATGAAAGGACAGTAGAGGCAGTGAAAGAGAGAGAGATCAGAAAGCAGACCAGCTTTGCAGAGCAGGTGATGAGCTCTCTTGCACACATACTGCTTTTGCAACCAGACAGCTATATGGAGATGCTGAGAGGTGTTGAAAGATAAACCTTTGATAAATTCAATTTAACAGAGTTTAACTGAGCAAAGTACGATTCACAAATCAGGTAGCTTCCAGAGCCAGCGTAGGCTCAGAGAGGCTCCAGCGCAGCCATGTGGTGGAAGAAGATTAATGGATAAAGAAAAGTGAGGTACAGAAAACAGAAATGAGGTGCAGAAACAGTTGTTTTGGTTACAGCTCAGCGTTTGCCTTATTTGAACATGGTTTAAACAACTGGCAACTTTTAATTGGCCAAAACTTGGTGGTTGGCACAAAAATAGTTTAGTCTCTTTACACACCCAGTTAGGTAGGTTTCCATTAACTATGTATGGAGAAATCTTTAGGTTGAACTTAAAATATGGAAGGAGGCAGCTTTAGACTAAACTTCACAGAAGGTGATCAGAATTGTGAGACTGCAACTCAAGAAGAGATTTAAAATCATAGTGGTAACTGATTTGAGATGAATCTCCACATGATGAGAAGTTAAGTACCCTATAACAAGTGCAATTGCTGAGAGAAAGAGAGGAGAGCCAGGAGCACTGCATGCAGAGAGGGGATAGAGTCACAGAAAATACAAAGAATAACAAGAACAATGTTAAAGTATTCTCAAAACCAGTAAGTAAGTAGTAAATAAAATAGATGGTCATTAGAGCAAAATTGTGCAGTGAAGCCAATGCTACAAACTAACAAAAGATCAATATTAACACTGGAAAATAAGAACTCATTGGTGGAGCCAATTTGGAAAATACTTTTGGTAGCTTCTCATAATTTTAAACATATAGATACCATATGAATCAGCATTATATTCATAGATATCTACTCAGAGAGAAGAAACATATTGTCCACACAAACTCTACATAAATGTTCATAGTGGCATTATTCATGATAGACCCAAAATGGAAATAACTCAAATACCCAACAATTGAAATGGATAAACAAAATGTAGTATATCCAACAATAAAATATTATCCAGCAGTAAAAAGGAACAAAGCACTGATATTTGCTACAACATGGATAAACTTTGAAAACACTATGTTAAATGAAAGAAGGCAGTCAGAAAAGACTACAGATTGTATGATTCCATTTATATGAAATGTCCAGAATAGGCAGTTCTATTGAGACAGTAAATTAGTGTTTGCCTAAGTACAGAGGAAATTGAGAAGAATGAGTAGTGACTGTTAATTGGCATTGGGCTTTTTCTTTTTATTTGGAGTGATGAAAATATTCTAAAATTAGATAGTGGTGATGACTGTATAACTATGTAGATATACTAAAGCTATTGAATTGTATACTTAAATTTGCTGAATTCTATAGTGTACAAATCAAATCTCAATAAATCCATTAAAAAAGAAGAAAGACAGCCGGGCGCGGTGGTTCACACCTGTAATCCCAGCACTTTGGGAGGCCGAGACAGGCAGATCACAGGGTCGGGAGATGGAGACCATCCTGGCTGACACGGTGAAACCCTGTCTCTACTGAAAATACAAAAAAATTAGCCAGGCGCGGTGGCAGGCGCCTGTAGCCCCAGCTGCTCGGGAGGCTGAGGCAGGAGAATGGCGTGAACCCGGGAGGCTGAGCTTGCAGTGAGCCGAGACCGCGCCACTGTACTCCAACCTGGGCGACTGAGGGAGACTCCGTCTCAAAAAAAAAAAAAAAAAAAAAAGAAGAAAGACAAAACAATGGAAAAAGTAAAATGGTTAGTGGTTGAAAAGATGGTAGCACAGAGAATTTTTATGGCAGTGAAAAATACCCTGGAAGATGCAATAATGGTGGATATAATGGTATCATTTTACATTGTCCAAAGCCATAGAATGTACAACACCAAGAGCAAACCTTAGTGTAAACTATGGATGCTGGGTGATGATGATGCATCAGTGTAGGCCCATCGGTTGAAACAAATGAACCGCTCTGGTGTGGGATGTTTATAGCGGGGGAGGCTGTGAATGTGTGGGGGAAGGGGGCATAGAGTCCACTGGTAATGTTTGAAAGAGCTATTTCTGTGAAATGGTAGGATTCAAAGGAATAAAAGCTTCCAATATGAACCACATTTAAGAAAATGGGTGCAGCACACCAGCATGGCACATGTATACATATGTAACTAACTGGCACATTGTGCACATGTACCCTAAAACTTAAAGTATAATAATAAAAAAAAAAGAAAATGTTCAGTAAGTTACAGTCATGAGGTAAATCAAACAAAACCTTAAATAGGACACCACCTAAGATGCTGCATCATGTCTCTGCAAATGAAATTCTGGCAATCCATTCATGTTTTACCTCAAGGAGAAGATGAAAGAAAGGTGGTTGTGTGGCTCCAAATGCTAAACTTAATTTCCGCTGACTTAAACTCCTTCTGCATAACAACTCATTGATTTGTTTAGAGACGTCTAAGGTTTAGTCATGAGTCAAACACTTTCATTATTTACTATGAACATCTTGCATCTCATCATCATATGCAGTTGCAACACTCAGAATGACCCAGTAGGGCCTTCATCACAGATTTGCTTGTCTATCATACAGTGAAGCCATTGAGAGAAGAGCCTGGTAGTCTACACGATAGCTGCCTTGACTCGCCTCGTGGTCTTACTGTGGTGGTAACACCCAGGGAACCCACTGGAGGGTATATCACCCCTGTGTGTTATGTGGGTTGCTGTCAGGTGTGGCACAACTGATCAGCATCCTGGGGCATTTGGTTGAATCTGGGTGCTCTAGGCACTAAAATGACATCAAGAGTCATCAGAAAAGAAGAATTAATACGTCTTAATGCAAAAGCAATAGCAATAGTAATTGAATAATTTGTGTATATGGCCCAAAATTTTAAGGAATGAATATTAAGATTAAATATATTTGTGACATTGAAATAAACATACATACTTTGAGCAACAGAAATCCTAAAAAATAGCAAAACTATCTCAAAGCATTAGTATAGGCTCTAATGAAAAAACGATTTATCTTTCAAATATCATGTTTTTGGTTCTTCCAATATGAATGAGTAAATAAAAGGGAATAAACGATAAGTATTTTTATTTATAAATAAATAAAATATTTTATTGTTAAAATAAACCCAAACCATTTTGACTTGCAAAAAAAAAAATGGTTCAGGTTATTATTTGCTTCACAACTGATTAGTAACCCCAAATAATTAATGGTTGGAGAAAACTCCACCCTCAGCAGCTTTTATGAGAGAAATTGATGCTTCTGACATTATAGGACATGTATTCAACACCTCAGAAAACTTCCCTCTAGGTCCAATCTCCTTTTACCTTCTCACGCTAGCATTTTGTCAGTTACTTAAGGAAAATAGAAAGGATTTTTGATGGCCAGTGAGTGGTTAAATACCATTTATTTCCAATCCTCTGAGGCATCTCATTAATGTAATAAGATTGAGCCACTACTGCTTCAGAGCTTACATTACCTAAGATTCTGAGATTGATGTGCCAAAGAGAGCCCCTCAGAACAAAATGCACCGAGCAGGAGCACACTGCAATTCATCACTTCAGTGGATTGAAAATTCATTTCATTCAACAAATTTTTATTGAGTGCCTACTATGTGCCAGACAGAGGGCTCATTGTTCTAAATGACACTGTTCTAAACATAGTTACTCTATTCAAGAAGGCATTAATATAGTAGAGTGGGTTACATTTTAAAAATTAATAAATTTAGTATTAGGTAATCTAAATACTAATAGGGCATTAAAAGAAAATGTAATAAAGTTTAAAATAATTACTTGTATTAGTCCATTCTTACACTGTTAATAAAGATAAAAATTCCTGAGACTGGGTAATTTATAAAAGAAAGAGGTTCAATTGATTCACAGTTCAGCATGGCTGGGGAGGCCTCAGAAAACTTACAATCATGGTGGAAGGGACAGCAAACACATCCTTCTTCACATGGTGGCAGGAAGAAGAAGTGCTAAGCCAAAGGGGAAAAGCTCCTTATCAGATCTCAGCCGGGTGCGGTGGCTCACGCCTGTAATCCCAGCACTTTGGGAGGCCTGGGCAGGTGAATCACCAGGTCAGGAGTTCGAGAGCAGCCTGGCCAACACGGTGAAACTACGTCTCTACCAAAAATACAAAAAAATTAGCTGGGCGTAATGGCAGGCGTGTGTAATCCCAGCTACTCAGGAGGCTGAGGCAGGAGAATCACTTGAACCCAGGAGGCGGAGGTTGCAGTGAGCTGAGATTGCGCCTCTGCACTCCAGCCTGGGTGACAGAGTGAGACTCCATCTCAAAAAAAAAAAAAAAAAGAAAAGAAAAGAGAAAAAAAGCATCAGACCTCATAACTCATTCACTATCACAAAAATAGCAGCATGGGGGTAACCACCCCCATGATTCAATTACCTCCAATCAGGTCCTTCCCATGACACATGGGGATTATGAGAACTACAATTCAAGATGAGATTTGGGTGGGGACACAGTCAAACTGTATCAGAATCTACTTGGAAGATTAGAAAAACTTCCAATTAGAAATACATCTTTGATATAATGATAGAATAATATCATTTTTAATGTTTATGTGACAAGCATATCACATCTATATTCTCATTTAGTCACAGAAATAACATTAATATAGGTAGGAATATTTCCAGTTTTTATAGAGGAGAAAAACAAATCACAAGAGAATAATGAATTTATCACGTTCATGCCCACTCAATAAATAAATAGAACCTGGATTCAAACCCAAATCTGTCTAGCTCCAAAAGTATAAACCAGGTCATTATAATGGCTTTTAAAACACAGAAAACTTGTACAAGCAGAATTGGTGTCACAATTTCTCATAAGTAGAGGGTTAAGGTGAAAAGATATCTATACAAAAGACTATGGGGATGTTGATGGATTGTCAAAAATAAACTGCATGCAAGCACAGTGGGGAAGAAAATAAGGGTACATGCACTGGACTGAATGTTTGTGTTCCCCTAAAATTCATGTGTTGAAACTCTAATCCCCAAGTGATATTATTGGAGACGAAGACTTTGGAGATGATTAGGTCATGAGGGTGGAGACTTCATGAATAGGATTAGTGCCCTTATAAGAAGAGGCTAGAGAGCTAGCTCTCTTTCCTCCATGTAACGACACAGCAAGAAGACAGCTGTCTATAAACCAGAAACACCACCCTCACCAAAACCCAACCTTGCTGACAACCTGATCTCAAACTTCCAACAAACTCTAAAACTGTGAGAAATAGATGTTTGTTGTTAAAACCCCCCAGTTTATGTTATTTTGTCATAGCAGCCCAGGCTGACTAAGACAGTGCACAACTAGAAAGGAGAAATTCAAGAACCAGTCAAGAAATGTGTGTCTTTTTGGTTAAAAAAAAAAATTGAAAGCCACTGGCAGCTTTTCACAAAAAGAGCAGAGCATGAAGAACCTTAATTCAAGACGAATGCCCAGATAACACTGTGTACAAGAGGTTGCGTATTGAACAATAATGGTACAAACACATAAAGAACACTCATTATCAAATAAAAATCCTTAGTGCTAATTAGCAGGTTATTTGAAAGGTTGACTATGGGTAACAAGAGAGAAAGTTTGGAAGATATTTCATATAAAATAATTACTCAGGGTGACCACTAAAAGAATGTTAAGTATTGTTTTGAGTGAAACGCTGAGAAATAAGATAGTATTAAAAATATCTTTAAAATTCTGCTGCACTCACTCTGTCTTGAGCTGTTTATCCATATTGGGCTCATAAAATCCAATATTCCCCAGCCCACACAAATATTTTTCTCTTCAAGAGTTGCTGTTTTGTAGAAGGGCACAAATACTTTTCTTTCAATAGTTCCATGGATACTTTATACATTCATCGCAAATTTCAAATCTATTAAGCATCTTGCCCTCATTTATTTTCAGATCAGCACTCATAATTCATTATTCATTACACACTTTCCAAGCTAAGCACTGTACTAAGTACTGGGGATAAAAAGAAAAAAAAAGGTAAAAAGGTTATATAGCATGCTGCGGGATGTACACATGTCAACAAATCATGACAATACGTTGTATGAAGATTGTCTAATAGAAGCATATGAAAATTACTCTACGTATATTTCAGGATGTCAGTAGAACCATCTCACGTATTTATAACAGAGAAAATGTAAT
The DNA here is from genome assembly GCF_000001405.40 of Homo sapiens. Taxonomy (NCBI): domain Eukaryota; kingdom Metazoa; phylum Chordata; class Mammalia; order Primates; family Hominidae; genus Homo; species Homo sapiens. Next base: position 24,641,030 of record NC_000008.11, read on the forward strand.
GCAAGTAGTTGATTACTCAGAAGATGCAGATCTGTGAAGTTAAATGGTGGACAGTGAGGTGGCCAGGAAATACTCACTGCAGACAGCCTTTACCACTTCAAGACTGGAGAAAAAAAGAGAGAGGTGGTTGTGGTGTGTTAAATGGCTGCCCCTAAAAATATATATTCATCTTTGGGAGGCCGAGGCAGGCGTTCCAGACCAACCTGACCAGCATGGAGAAACCCCATCTCTACTAAAAGCACAAAATTAGCCGGGCATGGTGGCACATGCCTGTCATCCCAGCTACTGGGGAGGCTGAGGCAGGAAAATCACTTGAAGCCGGGAGGCAGGGGTTGCAGTGAGCCGAGATCACGCCATTGCACTACAGCCTGGGCAATAAGAGCTAAATTCCATCTCAAAAAAAAAAAAAAATACACACAGACACACACACACACACACACACACACACACACACATACATATATATATATATTCGTATCTTAATACCTAGATCCAGTGAATATTACCTTATTTTGAAAAAGGGTCTTTGTAGGCATAAATTGTCATTAAATTAAAGATTTTGAGGCTGGGCACAGTGGCTCATGCCTGTAATCCCAGTGCTTTCGGAGGTCATGGGGGCTGGATCACCTGAGCCCAGGAGTTCAAAACCAGCATGGGCAACACAGCAAAACCCCATCTCTACTCAAAATACAAAAAATTCACCAGGTGTGGTAGTGCATGCCTGTAGTCCCAGCTACTCAGGAGGATCACCTGAGTCCAGGAGGTCCAGACCCCAATGTGCTGTGATTATGCTACTGCACACCAGCCAAGGCAACAGAGAGACCCTGTCACAAAAAAAGAAGAAAGCAAGCAAGAAAGCAAGCAAGCAAGCAAGAAAGAGAGATAGAGAAAGAAACAAAGATTGATTTTGAGATGAGATCATTCTAGATTACTCAGGTGGACCCTAAATCCAAAGATAATCATCTTTATAGGAGACAAAAGAGAAGACATAGAGAAGAGGAGAAGGCCATGTGAAGACAGAGGTAGAGATTGAAGTGGTGTTGCCATGAGCCAAACAAGGTCTGGGTCCATCGGAAGCTGGAAGAGGTGAGACTGGAGTCTCCCCTGGAACAGTCGGAGGGAGCGCCCTGCTGACACCTTGACTTCAGACATCTGGCCTCCAGAGCTAGGGGAGAACACATTTAAGTTAAGTCAGTAAGTTTTCAGTAATCTGTTACTGCAGCCCTAGGAAACTAATTCAGCAGTGTTACTGGAGCTTGAGTTGGAACCAGAGCAAGCACATGGAGCTGGAGCTGGAACCAGAGCAAGCATGTCTACTGGGAGCTAGAATTTCAGAGGGGTCAGAGCCACTTCTTCAAAACCATTCAATGCAGGGAGGGAGGACAAGACCCTGGTTTCTGCTTTCCCACCCCCATTTTCTGCCAGAGCTGCTCACTGGTTGGTATCAGCCCTAGGTCAGCTGACACAGGAGCCTAGAGAAGTCAGTTCCCACCATGCAGAGAAGAGTCAGGGAGAATGAAGAAGTTGTCCGAGGGCCACAGGCTCAGAGGCAGCATATTATGGAACACACTGGGTAAGCAAAGCTTGGTATATCAGGAAATCTTCACAGAGAAGATAACATTTAAGCTTAATCTAGACAAATGAGAAGAAATTCATTAGGCAATGGAGGAAAGGCATCCAAAGGTTGGGAGAAGCACATGCAAACTCAAGTTCATAACCCCATGCCATCTTCTTTTCCTCCACTTTTGTGCTCATGGTATCTGAAACACAAATATGGGCAGGATTTAATCTCTAGGGGCAGGCACCCACTCTTCTTCAGGGTAGCAACCTGGGTAATTGGCATAGGATCTAATCTGAAGATTTAGCCATCTTAGGTGCGGAACAAAGAGGATGTAGAACATTCCACTGGGTATCTCTGGATGAAGTGGCACTCTCCAAATTAGTCTTACAGACAGGGCTCTGTTAAGGGTTATGTTAAGGCTATGTCAGGTAATTGCCAATCTATAACAAAGCAGTATTATCCTTGCTATTTGGCTTCTCACTTGGCATGCATAAATATCTTCAGCTCATGTATAAGGAACCCCAATGGAGGTGAAGTAAAGAGTAAGAATTTCAAATCTCGTGCCTATTCCCAGAAACAGATGCTAATTTTTAGATCATATGATTTATTCATACATAAACGTCCATTATACAGTTGGAGTTTGCTTCTGAAATTCAAAGCAAATATTGGGCATGGGATAGAGGTTTGAAAGTCATTAGGTAATAACTTAAAATATAGGACTGAATGAGAACATTGAGGTAGATGCTAAATGAGGACTAAGGACTTTGCTCTAGGGAATCTCCAGTGATGGGCATACTTCATTGCTCTTAGGAAATTCTGCTGCTATTCACTACTCTTCAGTCACCTGCAGCCACCTGCACTCTCCCGCTTTTCCTCAGACCTGAGACAAAGTTATCAATGGAAGCTTAATTTTAAAACATTAGATAACTCTTTATTGCAATACCTAATCTACCAGGTATTAGAATGGATTAATCAGAAAATAACACTGCCAAGCCTTCAGAACTTTTTACCTTTTTTTTAAAATCCACCTATTCTACCTGGATTTCAACCAGAATTGAAGAGAAAAGTTGCTCTTATTTTACTGGAATTGCACCTCCTGCAACTATAACTCCATCTTTAAAGGTTCTGCTTTTTATTTCTTGCATATTTAATCCTTCAAATTCTTGCTCAAACAAAAATATAGTGTTATTTCCTCATTTTAGCTCCCACCTTATGTAACCTCGAAAGGCAAAAGAAGACCTCATCGTAAACTTTCTTTACATGGGGTGTTAGCAAAAGAGGAAGAAAATGCTGCCTTGTCAACTAAATAGCACTGGATGGTTACAAATGAATGCAGCCCTCCTAAAGGACAAGCCTGTATCCAGGCAGAGGCTGGCAGTACTACAGCATTGCACATAAACGAGTGATGCACTGCAGATAAAATGCAAATCAACCTGTCTTCTGGGCAGTGAGCCCGTTCAAGGAAGAAACCTCGCTCTTTACTGAAAGCACACCATCCTTCTTGTCCACACTCCCCAAGTGCCTGTCATTTCTTCAAGAAAATATTAAATGAAGAACTGGTCTCAGTGAAGGAGTACTGTCGCGGAGGGAGGACTTTGACCTTTCAAAGCAGTCACCAACCTCCTTTTTCTAGAGACAGAATCAGCTCCATGGATTTAGGTGTAATGGGAATTATTTTTCCTTTCTTAATTCACTTCCGAAGATATTTATAAAACATCCCAGGTAAATTTGAGAACATCTATGTCCATTTTCTAACCTTTGGAATGATGATTGTAGCTTTAAGATCTATAATTCTATATTAACTATGATATTCAAGACAGAAAGGATTTTAGAGATTATCTAGTCTAATGTCATAATATATCCCTAGCAGGCAATTTTCTTTGCAACATGTCTGGAAAGTTCTGCTTTAAAATGTTCAAGGACAGGAATCCTACCAGCTATTAAAGCAGATCATCTCTTTGAAAGCTCTAGTTGACCGAAAGTCTCTCCTGATAGAAGACTGAAATATGTATCGCCTATCTCATCCTATGTGCATCACCACCACATACCCTCTACCTGGCTACACTCCATTAAATCACACCTGCTCTTCTACATGAGAGTTTTTCATGTATTTCAAGGACACTTTTGCTATCACAGACACGTGGCATCCATAGTTGTACATGTAATGGGAAGAATATGCCATACTGTAAAATTGACTAGTACAGTGCCTGTCCTACAATGCTGCACCGATTCAATACATGCTAGTGCTTATTTAATAACAATCTCTGAAATTCAAGTAGGATTTTACAATTTAGAGGGACTTTTAAATTATATTTTATGTAAACGGCTCCACAAAATGAAAATGAGGAGGTAGGTATTATGATCTACTTTTCTTGGATGAGGATACATATATGTATATATTTTTAGAGACAAGGTCTTGCTCTGTCGCCCAGGCTGGAGTGCAGTGGCATGATCATAGCTTACTACAAACTCAAACTCCTGGGTTTAAGCAATCCTCCCACTTCAGTCTCCTGAGTAGCTGGGACTACTGACATACGGCACCATGCCCAGCTAATTTTTTTTTTTTTTTCCTAGAGATGGAGGCTAACTCTATTGCCCAAGCTGGTCTCCAACTCTTGACCTCAAGTGATCCTCCTGCCTTAGCTTTCCAAAGTGCTGAGATTACAGACATGAGCCACTGTGCCTGGCTGAGGATATTTTCTTATTCAACAATCATCTATCACATGACTAATAAGCGACAAGCACTCTTCTAGGTATTCAAATTGACACTGAGAGAATAAGATGTCTGCTTAACTTCATATAGCTTCTTAGCGGGAGATTCAGGAAATCATATAGAAATCTTTGGATATGAAGTCTATGGTCTTTCTACCACATTGCTTATCACTCCAGAGAGAGAGGAAGACAGAGCTCTAGGGTTCTTGGCAGTGACAGACAAATAACTCCACCTATGGGCACTTGGCATCCAGTTGGCTTGTTAGTGACCCACTCCTAAATAGGAATTTACAGTCAACAATTACCACATATTTGAGAAAAAAATTACTATAAAAGACACAAACCAAAACAGACAAAAAGCAATAGGATGGACACAGAGACAGTATAGGGAAAATAAATTTAAAATCTGTATTAATAGCCCCCCAAAAATAAAATGTGTTACATTCATAATGTAAAAACAGGCAGCATCGAAAAAGACTACTAAAAGAATAACCAACAAGAGATGTTAAGAATTGAAATTTAAAAATGTAAACTTGAAGAAATCTCCCAGAAAATAGAGCTAAAATATAAAGAATTGGAAAAATGGAGAGAAAAGATCAGAAAATTCAGCAACCTTTGCAGTATGTCCAAGATACAAATAGAAGAGCCACAGAAAGAGAGGACACAGAAAGTGGTGGGTAGGAAATCACCCATGGGTTATACTTGAGGGAATCTTTCAAGTTCCTAGATTGGAAGGGCCCATTTCATGCACAGCACAGCAGATAAGCAGTGGCATCATTGTAAAGTTTCAGAGCATTACAGACTAAGAAAAGATTCTAAAATCTTCACAGAGAAAACTGGTTTCATACAAAGAATCAAGAAGCAGATGGTGTCATGGTGTCACATTACCCAGTAGCAACATTGGGAGTCAGAAGATCGTGGGCCAATGCTTTTTCTTTTTTTTTTTTTTTATTATACTTTAAGTTCTAGGGTACATGTGCACAACATGCAGGTTTGTTACATATGTATACATGTGCCAATGCTTTCAAAAAGAGATTTCTTCCAATACAGAATTGTATTCAGCCAAACATTCGATGAGGTATGAGAGTAAGGGGGAAAAAAAGACATTCTCAGACACTCACGTTATCAGACAAAAATTTAAAAGAAACAAGAACTAGAGAGTAGGGTGTACGACACAAAGGAGAAGCCCAGAGAATCACCAGGATTAGGGTAGACAGAGATACCAACATGGCAGCAGTGTGCGATAGAAAGAACAGGTTAAAAAACTCTGGGGATCTTTATTTGTTAATAAGATGATGTCGTAAAATAGCTGATGGGTGGGGCGCGGCAGGTCATGCCTGTAATCCCAGCACTTTGGGAGGCTGAGACAGGTGGATTGCCTGAGGTCAGGAATTCCAGACCAGCCTGGCCAACATGGTGAAACCCTGTCACTACTGAAAATACAAAAATTAGCCAGGCGTGGTGCTGCGCACCTGTAATCCCAGCTGCTTGGGAGGCTGAGGCAGGAGAATCACTTGAACCCAGGAGATGGAGGTTGCAGTGAGCCAAGATCATGACATTGCACTCCACCCTGGGCAACAGAGTGAGATTCTGTCTCCAAAAAAAAAAAAAAAAAAAAAAAAAAAAAAGATATTGAAAAATACCTGATGACTTTGAACATATTGAGAGAAGAGTTACACCATTAAAAGAGATTTCATGTATAAATTAATAACAGGAATATAAAACCAATCAAATGGGAAAGGACAATTATTACTTTGAGGAGGGTGATAAGAAACAGAAAGCAACTATGACATACTACACGTCTCGGCTATCAAGTACATTTACAACGTGAAGATAAAATGTTTATCTCGCTCATTCATTCACAAAGTATTGTCTCTAGACCATCCAAGCAGCATCATCAACATCTCCTGAAAGCATGGTTGAAATGCTGATTTTCTAGATTTACCTTTTTTAGTCAAAAGAGGGAGTAGCCAGAAATTTGTATTTAAACAAGCTCTCAAGATGATTCTGATACATGTAAATTTGAGAATCACTGATATAATCAAAATTATAAAATCTATATTAGAGAGGGTGACAAGCTGTTTGCCTGTGTGTGACTGGGATGAACAGAGGAAAAATTTAGTAACTGATGCTTAAACAAAATGAATAATTAGTAAAATCAAGAAATACCATCTAAGCACGATATTTAAATATGCAGAGTCACATCCAGGAGAATTAGCAAAGAGTTCATCACAGTAGCCTTCAGGGTGCTGGGATAGGTGGGACAGAACAGGCTGCTGCTGTAAGCTTTATGTACAAGTCCACAGGACAGTTGTGCTCTGAACTATGTATTTGTTTCAATTGATCAAAAGAAAAAGTAAATTACAAAAGGAGCTATGACCTGCTCAGTCCAGCTGACCTGATGTTCCCCAGCCCACGGAAATTAAGGGTGTTTTCCCTTTTCAAATTATAAAAAGAACATCTGATCTACTTAAAAGACCTTGTTTAAAGACATGTAAGAATATTAAATTAAGAATTAAGAATATTTATCTTCATGCATATTCATTTAAAAATCATTCCTACATCATAAACCACAGATCTCATGTTCCAAAATATTCAGATAAAAATTGGTATTATTTTTAATCCTATAGGTGAGGTTTTTAACTGAATGCCAACCTTTGGGGAAGTGTGGGGGGAAAGCATAGCTTTAATTAATAAGCATAGTATAATACATCATATTATATGTATACATACATACATATGCCATGCATCACTTAATGATAGAGCTGTGTTCTGGGAAATACATCATTAGGTGATTCTGTCATTGTGCTAACATCATATAGTGAACTTACAGAAATCTAGATGTTATAGCCTACTATACACCTAAGCTAATAACTATGTACATACTGTATATGGCATAGCCCATTACTCCAGTACTACAAAACTGTACAGCATGTTACTGTATTGAATACTATAGGCAATTGTAACAAAGTAGTAGGTTTTTAAGTATGTAAACATAGAAAAGGTAGAGTAAAAATGTGGTATTACAATCTCGTGGGACCACTGTCATATGTGGTCCATCAGTGACCAAAATATCATGGGGCACATGACTGTATATATACATATACATTAAACATGCTTGCGCGCGCACACACACATTAAAGATCTCGTTTTATTCTCGTAACCATTTTAGAAAAGTGGTTACCTCCAGTTTACGGATGAGGAAACGCTGGCTTGAAAAAGTTACCGAAATTGTTTAACATCACACTACCTTTCATGACCTCCTGTTAAACTATATTCAGGTTGTAATTATTTGTATTTCAACTAGTCAGATTTTTGTAGCATCTGCAGACACCTAATTGTAAAAGGCAGAGGACCCAATCTTTCTACATTGATGTGAGGAACTCAGTAAAGTAAAATGAGCAAGTGGCTCTGCAATTTTCTCTTTAACAAACAAAATAAGCTATCGATCATCAAAATGTCGAAGCCAGTTTACTAGTCAGTGGAAATATCTTCTTTAATAAAAAGTCAGAAGCAACTCTAAACATAAAAAGCAAATGAGGAAAAATTGAATTCTTCAATCTTATTTTCCTTCTCAGAATTCTGCTGCAGTTGCCTCCTGGCAGGGTGAACACAGCCCTCTCTGACTCAGTATTAAACCTCCCACCAGAGCCCACCTTGTTTCTTTCCTGTCTTTTTTGGCATACATGCCTGACTCTAAATAATACAACATGATTAAGGATCAGCCCTGGTTGTGAGAATTGACTGACCAGAGCAGCCCAGGAGATTGTGTACACACTCAAGCTGACTGCTGGACTTTTCTCTTTTTAGAAGAAGTATCACCAGAATCATTTATATTCTGCACACACTCAAATCTTCATTCTGGACCTCAGTGTTGTGTATTTCCTGAGACAAGGAGCCTAAGGCCCTAACTTTTGAGACAATCTTACATTCCCAGGGTGAGCAGCTTCCTAACCCATGCTTGTGGGTCTCTGACCTCTACTCCCTGGCCTCCTTTGCAGCTTCCACCTGACTCTCCATTCTGAGTGCAGAGCTTTCTTTTGTCCTAGACAGCTATCCTCAAGCTGATTTACTCCAGACTCACATCTACCCTCAAACCCTTATGCTAGGCAAATCAGGAGCAGACACACTTAATTTTCCAGGTGAGCAGGACTTCACAGTAATCTCAGCAACTACTGCAAAGTGACTATTAGTGATGATGAAATGGAAATAGCCTGGGTTTAAGAGTGAGACTCACTTGATGTTTTGGGATAGGCTGAAAATAAAAGTGCTTTCTCTTTATATCTGGGTGTAGCTTGGTTCTTTCTATTGAAGTGAGAGAGGAATTGCAGAATCCTGAGAGACAGGCCAGCTATAATGTTTCACTGTCCCTTTATTACCTCGTAAATATAGTGTCAAACATTATCCAAATCATTTCCAGCTCTTTTCCTGGCTTCTGCATAAAGGAAATGACCAGGCATTTCCCCAGAGGCCCAAGCCCCATGACCAGCTCAGCCTGCTATGCGATAAGGCAGACAGCATGGGGTCACCACTGCTGCACAGCTGTCCCGGCCTGACCTGGCATCCATTCCAATGGGGTGAGAGGGCAGAAGATTGAGTGGGAGCCATATATTCCAACTCCTTCCATTAGTTCTTTCATGCAAGAATTATGACTACTCAGTACAAGTTCCTATTTCTGTTTAAACCTTTTTTTATTGTGAAATATAAAATATGATCTGCATATAAAAAAGTACATAAAATATAAATGCATGGTTTAATAAATTACTGTAAACATCTCTAAAACCACCTCCAAGGATGAAAAATAGAACACTGCTTGCACCCTATAAGTACTCAACACACCGTTCTTTATCTAAACTCTCATCTTTATCCTGGAGTAACCCTGACATGACTTTGAGGGCAATCATCTTGTTTTCCATGATAGTTTTAATATTTATGTATGAATCTCTAATAATATAGTATGGTGTTGTCTATTTTTGACTCTTAAGCAAATGGAATTATACATAATTCTGTATAATTATACAGAAATATTATACAAAAGTCTGCATCTTTGGTTTGTGGGTTTTTTTGCTTATTATCATATTTTTGAGATTCCTTCACATACTCGTGTAATGAATGGTTATCAGATATTCATTCATTTTCATCAGCATAGAGCAAACATTTCCTTATATGAAATATTAAAGCATACCCCTTCATACTGATGAATATTTGTTGTTGCTTTTTTCTAAGTTGGGTCATTATGAATAATGCTGCTGAGAATATTTTTATACATGCCTCAGGTCACTCTTTACATCATTAAGGGGCACACAAAAAATGAGTAAGCCTGAATCCAAAGCTAAAAGTGACATTTAAAAGGGAATTTTTTAGATACACTTTTTTCTCTTGTTTCAGATGTATCAGTGATCCTGAAGAGAAATATGCAGGTCTTTGTTGCCTAACTATTCTATTTACCCCATCTGCTTTCTGTGAGCTGGAAAAATGTTTTTATGACAGGGTCAGAGAAATCTGGGGTCCTAAAAGCCTTATTTCCTCACAAGTGGGTTCTGGAACTATTGTGCCACCACTCACCAGCAATAAGACTTTGGGAAAGTGACCTGATGTCATTAAGCTTCTGTTTCCTTTCATGTAAAGTTCAAAAGGGAATACATTATTGTTATTAAGCATCAATTATATCATGCACAGGAAATTTTGCCATCCATGTAGTTAACTATCTTATTTAAGCATTTCAAAATCTTAGTGAAATAAGTACCCACATGTTCTATTTTACCATTTTTATTTCCCAGAGTTGTTTTGGGTACTAAATGAAATAATGCATGCAAGTGCTTGCACAAAGTTGAAATCCAACCCATATTCATTACACTGATATTGCCTCATCACAGTCTGTACATTTTTAAAAATATTTTCAATACTAGGTATATTTTATGCTTATCTGATCAAATCAGCACATTGATTTTGTTGTGATATTTATGTCTGATCCCCTTGTTTTGATTCATTTCCATTTAAAGTATGGGAAGAAGAAGACGATAGGAACCACAATGAATATAAGAACTAAATTGTGTTTCCATTCAAACTTAGTAACTGTCTTTAAAATGTCTTCGATCCTCTGAAGACACAGTGAAAACACAGTGAAAACTTGGAGTCCAGATTTTTAAGTTGCCTTTATTTAAATAAACCCCATGTCCTTAGAAAAATACTGCATAGAGGTAATTGTTGCATTGGATCTTCATTTAGATCACTCAAAAAAATAAAGAGAAAGATGTGAGGAGATGTGTGGCTACATTTAAGATCTATTCCTGCTTCATGTTTCAGGTTTGGGGCTTTAGCACTTTATTTCACTTTGGCAGCAAAGTAAGGACTATTCCGCCACCCTGGTTTACAAGGCTGGTTTTGCCACAATATTCAGGAAGAGGCACTCGGTCACTTTGATCCCACTACTTACAAAAAAAAAAAAAACAAAAAAAAAAAAAACAAGAAGCAGTCCCAGAAGAGGAGTGAGAGGAGCACAGTGGCTGAGAAATAATTAGTAGCTTTTCTTCCCCCACCCAGCCTGGCTGCTTCCCACATTCTCTGCTTCAATCTTTTGATGGCCAACAAGATCATGCATCTTGCTAACCAGCTGAGGACTCCTTGGGTATCATGGCTGATGACTCAAAGTCAGAGAAAAAAAGGAGGGCATGAGGGCCATTGTTCAGGGAAAATATTTATTGAGTGCAAACCCTATATAATGCACCGTATAAAATAGAAGATCAGCAAGCATGATTCACTTGTCAAGTCCTCGAGTTATTGCATGGATTTCACCTTTGCTGCTCAGCATTAGAGATAATGCATAATTACCGTTTTAAAAAAGAAGATTGAGAACATCTATCCTCCAGTAACCCATACCCCTTCTGGTACTGAAGTTTCTAAAATCTGATTTTCCTTGCTTTTTTTTTCCTGTGCAAATTTAATGCCTTGAAGCCAATCCCCTGAGCAGTTATGTCAGAATCTTTAGCTCATGTATGTCTGGAAGACTGATTCCTGAGGCTTCTTTGACATCATGTGCTGGGAGATGAGAGCATGCAGGAGAGCCAGGAGCCAGGAGGGGCAGAGGTGATGGTGTTCAGAAGCTAAGAAGAAGAGCATGTCAGCAGAATCCAACATGAAGTCACAGCCATTTGCACTTGGCTATGTACCAAGCCAGTTCTCTAATCATCAATGATTTCCCGACCCTGGAATTAGACACTATACTATATAATCCCTGGCAAACACTTGTCTGTGGCAATAGTGGCTGTAAAGTAACGGGGATGAGAAAATGGTAGGGCTTATGTAATATGTCTTATTTCTTTCTGGTTGCATTCAGTCCTCCTGGCTGTGAGTAGGTCATCCACAGTATCCCTGAAGGCTGGCTAGAGGATTTTACTCAATTCTCAAAAATTCACTAAGAAAATTGTGAATATCTAAGCTTTAAGAGGAAGTTAAATATGATACCACTGAAATTTGTTTTCCAAGTTGAAGATTCAAAATAATGTTCATAGCTGTAGTGACAGTGGCAGTTGTACTGTAGGACTGGCTTTCCACGAGCAGGTCTTAGTGTGCTGTTGGTTTTCTTGCAGCTGTCCTCAGATCGCGCCTGGTTACTGGCTTCCTAATCAAGGCATGAGGGCTCTGATACGCATGGAGTGTTTTAAATATTAAGAGACTAATGAAGTAAGATATTCAACTAAAGTGAATTAGCATTGATTCATGCAAGTTAAATACCTGTCTCTTAATGAAAGCTTAGAGCTTCAAACTTAATCAATGGGATTGAGAACTGACAATTAAATCCACTCAATAAACACTCACCACCTGCCATTACGTTTCACTGGGTTCTTGCTTCTCACCAACTCCTCTTCCTTTTCTGCCTGAAAACCATGACTCTTTAGAGTTTGGGTCTGCCTTTCCAAACCAAAGTGAAAGAGAGACAGTCTATAGAAAATACCTTGTCTACTTAGAAAATGAAACCTAGTTGAGTTGTTTTCAACCCTATACCCTGTGCCAAAGACGACTGATACAATGGAGCCACAAAGAGCAGGGAAGGCTCTGGCATGGCATGCCTCCTTTGTATAAATGATAGAATAAGCCAGGTGTAGTGGTACACACTTGTAGTCCAGCCACTTGTGAAGCTGAGGTGGGAGGATCACTTGAGCCCAGGAGTTCAAGGCTACAGTGAGCTATGGTAGTGCCACTACACTCCAGCCTGAGTGACAGAGTGAGACTCTGTCTCTTAAAATAAAAAATAAAAATGACAGGACAGTCTTATTTTGGGTAGACTTCTTGGTGACTCACCAAATTCATAGCACCAGTGTTTTTGATTTCCTCAAGACTCCATTCCTCAGTTCATTCAATAGCTATTTACTGAGCATCTGTCATATGCCAGGCAGTTCTGAGTAATGGCAACACAATGGCAATAAGGTATAGACTTTGCCCTTGGAAACAAATATTCAAAGCAGTAATGATTGTGCAATGAATAAATGCTATTATAGGTATTTACTTAGGATGCTATGATATCATAATGTCTTGGCTAGATTGTTACAAACATCTTTATAGAAATATTGGTGCTCATTTTGAATAAAAAAGATATATGGATATGTATTCTCAGCCAAATAAAATTATATCAGGACCTTAGTTTTATCACATGTAATATTTTAAAAATTTTAAAAATATTGTCTCTTCCTCATCAGAATCTTTACAAAGCTAAAATTTAAAGAAGACATAGGGAGTTGAAAGATCTTTGTAAATTATAAAGTTATCTGCCAGAACAGAGTTAAACAACATTGTGATTTTTTCTAATGCTTGACTCTGAAACAAATTCTGCACTTTTGACATTCTCTTAGAAGATGCTTATATTTTCCCCTAAATGAAAATTCCCATATCAGACACTTCAGCTATAGCTAAGCCAGCTCCTTGTAGTTGCAAGTGTGCTGGAAACCCTGTCGAGTAGCACTTAACACTCTTAATGCACGTAGCGTGTGAAGGAATGGTTCCCAGATGTCTCTCCAGTGCTATCTAAACTACCACCATCCCACCCCTGGCTCCCACAAGCTCTTAATCACCCCCCTCTCTCTCTCTCACACACACACACATACACGCACACACACACACACACACACACATACACAAAGCCATGCACACACACGAACAATTCCTGTGAAACAATCCCTCTCTAGTCTTCTTCACTCATTGTAGAGGTCATCCTTTTAAGAGGCAAACATGACCTGACAAAAAAGTAACTAAAGAGAATACCTTCCTAAAAGCCCATTCCATTAGTCTCCCTCACTTCCTTAATCTCCTACCTGTGTGTTGAGTCATATTTACTTCTCCAGCTTCCATGAAACCTCTCCCGATTATTCCAACCCATATTGACCTGTCCTTTCTTCGAACCCTGGCAGCAGTTAATGTCCACAGGCCACAGCCCCACCAACAGTGGGACTTCCCCCTCAATAACGTCCACACCACATTCTTTTGTACACCATTGTTCTTGAGTGACTCTTCTTCTGTAAAATCATCACCTGTAAATAAAATCCTTACTTTGCAGAATACTCTCAAAACTAAAGATAATAAAGTGCTTTGAAAATAAATATGACAGCATCTGCTACACAGAAGGTACTAAATAAATAACACCTCTTGCTTCCCTCTCTTTTGTATCTCCAGCGATCAGCACAGCTCTAAGGTAAATAGTAAATGTGTCAATAAATAGGATAAATAGGTATTGATTCGCTCTATCATATTGTATGCCACTCTTTTCTCTTCCCTTTGGAATTATAGAATTTTTTAAAGCTATAGTGAAAGAACTCAGTGCTCTTTATGCTCCTCCCCTTGATTAATTTCCTCTCAATTCTTGTCCTGCCTAATTACATACAATCTCTTTAGGCCCTTCTCCAGTTACTAGCTGATTCAAAGGCGTGTTTGTTTGTGGATTTCATTTAAATTTCTACTTTACAGGCTAATTGCTGATGATGTTATGAAAGTAAACAGTTCAGGAAAGCTGCCAATGTGTGTCCTATGAATTCATCACTGGTGAAAGCCCTTATTCTGCCAAGCCTGTGCAGAATGTATAAAATATTCAGAATGGAAGGCACTCATGTAGCAGAAAATATCCCAGCAGATCTGAAGCTCAGCATAGAACAGTGTGCAATGACTTAGAGCCCAGAAGAGTTTATCACGCAAGCCTAGTACTTCTATTTATGGTTAAAAAGGAGACGAAACTTGGCTGTTCTTAGAGCGTGACCTGAAATCTAGGAACTATGAGAAGTCCAGTGAGTGGATGTGAGTCTCTTGCTCCATAATGCGGCAAGAGAATACAAAACAGGCTGCATCCCTGTATCTCTGTTGTCAAAGGCAAGGAAGTCAGTTACCCTGCCCCACCTGCAATCTCTGATAGCCACTCATGACAACCAGTCATTCTATTGGTCTGCATGTCAAATGGCCACACCATATAGATCACGGGCTTTATGCACCAGAGGATTCACCAGCAGGCCCTCCTCCTTTAAGTCCATTCTCTTCAGGAATGCAGTATTGACTACTAAGAGACTGGCTCTTCCAAACACTAAGAACCATTTTAAAGGTCTTATATGAGTGAGTGGTAAAGGTGTTGGCAATCGCACTGCATAAAGTCAGCCAACATAGTTCATTAAGCCCCTGTGAGTTGTCATTTCTGCAGGACTGGAAAGCCTTCCTATCTTTGACACTGCAACTCCTTTCTGCCTGAAACACCTGAAAGTTACCAATGAAAGCTGTAGCCCTGAAAGTTGCATTCTTTAATTAAAAATAAAGATCAGCTGCAAATGCACCTGGGCTAGGTGACCCAGTGACCTCTATTTACACCAGAAAAAAGATCACAAGGCTCCCCCTACCTTGACTGTGTGTCTTGCACATTGAGAAGTCACCGTGAAAGACGACATGCATCGATTCCTTGTCTATGTAAAAGAGAGTGCTCATTAACTATACCACAACATTACTGAGTGCTGCAACAGAAAATGGACACGAGCATAGGCAAATGTGGCTTCTAGAAACAACCACTGCTATTTTAAAGTTTTGGTTTCACCTTCTTCGACTCTAAATTATAAGAAGCACAGGAAAACCAACAAATGGAATTGACTTTAAAGATTTCTGGTTCAAGGAAAAAAAGAGTCCACATTCTCCCTACTTCTCAAATCCCATTAATATAATAAAAAGAATGTAAAAAGATACCAAAATCTATACCTGTGCCTGAAAGCAGAAAAATAAAAATGCCATTTACATGCACAAAATTTTAAGAGATTTCTGCAAGAAACAGTGCTGGCAAGACCAAGGTGAAGGGTCACCTGATCATCACCCAGATCCCTGCATGAAAGGAAGAGTCCCTCTTGTGAGGCATACACAGAGCCTGAGTGGACCCCACGAACTATTAAGGTTGGACCATGGGCAATCAGTGCAGATTAAATCAAATACAATGACTGTCTCTGGAAAACACATCAGTACTGATGCCCAGAGCAATGGGCTGCACTTCCCTTCGCACCTTTCTTTAAACACTGGCTTTGGGCCAAGCAAGAACGTGGGAACCAATGAGAGAGTTGACCAATGAGAACATTCAGTCAAGTTGCAGGTGAAAAAACAATAAAGATCAAATCCATCACTTCCTTACATGCCAGCAATAACTACATAGAATATACAATGAAAAAAAAAAGGCCTCATTTATAACAACAATGTAAATTCCAGCAAGTTCAAGATGTAAAGGTAAAAAAAATGAAGCCTTAAAGTAAAACATAGTTTGTTAAATATATAAAATAATATCATCTATAAACAAAATTTTAGAGGAAAATAGAAGTGTTAATATAATATCATTCATATAACATCATTTCTTCCAAAATATTTCTTCCAAAGGCAGTTTCTTAAAAGGGCAATGATTTGCAAAGAGTTACAGATATATGTATGTAAATATTAAAATATTAAATACATAAAATTGTTACAAGTAGGTATACAAAATTTTAAATGTAAAATAAAATTAAAATATTAAACCATTGGGAGATAGAGTAAAATCTAAATGACCAATCTCTGACATATAAAAAATGCTAGTGAATTAATACGAGAAAAATAAAGTTTTGACACCTTCAAAAGAAAACACTAGTAACCCTAAAATATATTAATAAAATGTTTACACATACTACAGGCTAATATTAAATCTCATTTTTAAAAATATCAAATAGATTATATTAAAATTATAATTCATTGGCAAGAGTCAGAAAATAAGCCCTGCCATTCACAGCCTGTGATAATTTCAGTTGTTACAAACTTTTTCACCATTACACAAAAGTGTGTATCAAAAATCTTTAAAAAGCTTCTCATTTATACAGTATCCCACATCTAGAAAATAATTTTGATACAATAATTGTAAATATAGCCAAAGATGTCACTTAGAAAATATCAATTACAGTACTGTTTTAAATTGCAATAGAATTAAACATAATCTAAATATTCAGCTTTGCGGACTGATAAGTTTTTTGAAAGGCTGTATGTAGTCATTAAAAAGTATGTGATAGACATATACTTAATAAAAAACATTTTATAAGAAAACAGTATGTTTAAAATTGTGAGTAGATTTTAATTTAAGTCTGTTAAATATGCATTCATCCATTCAATTGCCCATTTATGGCCTCATGGAACTTATATTTTAGAGGAAATGCATATATCTGACTACATATCTATTTGGAAGGCTAGATATAAAAATGTTACTAGTGACTATCTCGTGATTATCTCAAGCTGAAAGAATGTTTATGTAAGTTTCCTATTTTTCTCTAGTAAATGTGTAAAAATAAAAAAGGTTATTTTGAATGGCACTCAAGAAATAATAATGACATGGTTCGATTCAGTCAAATTACCAGTTATTAAATAGATTTCTAAACATTAGCATTTGAATTCAAACATGTACTTTGAAATAAGCTTCCATGTACAGTTCACAACTAAATTTATAAGTCTTTTTACATAATTTTTCTGAGTCAATTAATACTACGATTAAAATGTTTTCCTCAACAAACAAATGTGAATAAAAGAAGAACTAATCAAAAAGGAGATGAGAAATTAAAATTAATTCTTATTGGTGGATGATTATTTTCTTTCAGCAATGTCTCTCCCTCCTCTGTAGAATGATGCCTCAGTTCATTAAATAAATGCACACATATTCCCCACAAATTCAAGGGATATTTCTTAAGGATACATGTAAATCACACAAAAATTTTCTTCTAAAATTATGAAAACAGAATACAGTCTTCACATTTTGAAAAATGTGCAGATTCTGTGCTATTCTCACTTAGGGTATTTATTTGTGGATGCTGGAATGAAGAGAAAACTGCAAGTTTTATATAAGGATCTTTATATATAAATATTGCTTCTTCTAGATTGCCATCTCTTGCATTTTCTCCCAAGATCCTTAAGATTTTTGTATTCATTTCAATATCACTTCCAGTGCCCTTCCTTCAATCCTGTATCTTGATTTAGTCAGGATGATTTTCAAGGAATCCCTAGCAGTAGGTTCTGGTTTTAGCCCCACCAGAACTGAATTTTCACATTTAAGCAATTCATTTCACCTCTCAGAAGAGAGTACACATATATCTGAGAATTCTTAAAGTGTTATTAAGTATTATGACTCATTTCCACATTGCACATCAGACTAATTTTTGATTCAAGATATAAATATGAATATGGTTAGACTCCATTTTTTAAAAAATGTGTAAAAGAGAATTAACTGTAGTCCTTCTTTTTCAAACAGGGATGCTTCAAAATACTTAATGAACATATGTATTGTATGCTTGCAAAAGTATTTACACCTCTATGCAACATGAGGAATACACAGAGGCAAATTGCATTATCCCTGCTTTCAAGTTGGAAAAAAAAGATAAAGCATTAAAAAAAAGGATTATAATATGTATTCACGTGTTATGTGTAATATGAGATGTGCCATCCCAGCATGCCTGGGAGGCATATATTTGTACCTGTTTTGCAGATTGAGAACAAGAAGCTTGAAAATGGTAACTGGCATGCTCAAGGCTACAAGAGAGTGATCACTAAATCAACCCTATGAGTAAAGAAGGGAACAGAAAATATCTTAAAATTTAAAATAAACACCTACCTTATCCCAGCCTGCCAGATACACTAATATTCAAGAAGAAACTGCTGGGATGTTTCTTCTATCCTCTGATTTTCCTTAAATCTATAGTATTGGACTTGTACATCTATGTTTCGCTGGCCATTCTTCTAACCTTTTTGTTGGTAGAAAGCCAAGTCACATATGAATATAAGACTATAGGATGACAATTATTCCTTCTTTTTCAGTCCCCATTATCATTCCCCACCGCTGCATTTCAAAGATTTTGCAGCAAATCTTAAAAAGAAATCACTATCTGGCCATTTTTTATTCAACCATTGGCAGGCTTCTTAAAAAAATCAATAAAATGTAAAAAGTATTGCTTAACACATGCATTAGCTACATTGGAAATAAGAAAGTGCTTGTGCAATTGGTTTTCTATGTGTGTATATGTATATATATATATTTCTATGTTTATGTGTGTGTGTGTATATATATATACACATACATATATATATATATATATGGAGAGAGAGACACACACACAGAGGGAGAGGGAGAGGGAGAGAGAGAATGAGAGAGAGAGAGAGAGAAAAATCAGAGCTTTAGTGGGGAAACAGGCATCCTAACTATTCTGTATGGGGTTCAGCGTCATCTGATTTGAGCACTTGTCCCCCCACCTATGAATTTCAGTGACCAACCTCAAGTTTTATAGTGATTGTATCCACTCTATGAAAATGTCTTTGACATCAGGTAATATCTGCATTTAGGACTTGATTTCTTGAAAACCTAGTTTTTTCTTAAACCTTCTCCGGTCTCAATTTACCTGTTCAGACTTTCTCCACCTTGTCTCCACCTACTAATCATGATGATAATGCAACTGTGATTGTTCCTATTCACACACCCCCACCCACACCCATGGATTGTTCTACACTACACAAGCCTCCTAGGATGTAAACTTCTGCATTCATTATTAGGCTGGCTCCCTTTCCATAGCCTTGCATTCTCCCAAGAAATATAAAGATTCACACAACTTCCCTTCCACCTTTTTATAGCTGCTCTACCCCATACCTCCTCTCTCTGTCTTTCTCTCTCTCTCATTCCCTCCTCCCCCTCTCTCTCTCTCTTCCAATTCCATCTTCAAATTTCCCTCTCTCTTGTTTCTTTCCCATCAACAATTAGTTTTCTCTTCTCCTTCCCAGCCATACTTTTTTTAAAAGGACCCAATTCCATGTCCTCAGATTCCATTCATTCTTCCACCCATCGCACACTGGCCTCTCCCACCACAATGCACTGGAAACTGCTCATGACCAGGTTGCCAGCAAACTAGTCACTGATAAATTCAGTGGACTCAGCACAGTTCATTTTTGTGCCTAATTTGTTAGTAATTATCTAACTCTTTGGCACTATCATTTGTCTTTTAAAACATGTAATGCAACCATGTTTTTTTTTTATCACTGAAAGCCAGATATTATCAAAGTCTGAATTCAACCATTGTTGCAAGATCTCCTTTCTTTCACTGTTTTCACTTTTTTAAATATATACTTTTTTTATTATACTTTAAGTTCTAGGGTACATGTGCCCTAATATTTAAGCATGTCGCTTCTTTGAAAATATTCTATTTCTATATTTATATTTATGTTTTTGGGTTTTGTTGAGCTGTACTTTCAAAGTTTCTGTTTCTATTATGATTCTGATAGTTAAT
This sequence comes from Homo sapiens, assembly GCF_000001405.40. Classification (NCBI taxonomy): domain Eukaryota; kingdom Metazoa; phylum Chordata; class Mammalia; order Primates; family Hominidae; genus Homo; species Homo sapiens. The sequence continues at coordinate 24,661,082 of NC_000008.11, forward strand.
CATCCTAAATGGTCTAAGAATTAAATAACATTTTTACATAAAATATTCTTATAGTTTAATTTTAGTTAAATCTTATACGTATTTCAAAATCGTTTGCAAAAATGGAATTCAGTGTACATCTAGTTGCCATTTTAAAGAAAAATTATCATGCTTCAAACATTTCATATCTGCTCCTACACATATACAAAATTCAGAGCAATATGAATTGTTTAATATTGCAACATATCACTTAGCCTCTAAGTAATATGTATAACTATTGAATGCTGCACTAACTTACACCTCTAGAATTGTGAAAACTGACCCAAGAGGAGGAAGAAAATGAATGATCAGCACGACTGGGAAATGAAATGTTATTATTCAACCTTCTATTCCATTCATGTGATCTGAAAAGGTTTGACAAGTTGATTTGTTTTCTCTCTCACCTAAGTCCTTCTACCTCCCAGTTCCTCCCTGCATTCTCAAAGTGTCCAACTCTGATAGCAGCACCATGACCCTTTGAGCCTTAACAGCATTAGGACACAGCAACTTTTGTACTGAGGACATATGGCAAACGTGGAGCAGCAGTATCCTGGGGCCTGAATGGCGTTAGTCATGAGAACGGATAGATATTTAGAGGCACAGGTTGCACTATGCCAGTTCTGACACTGGATTCTGAGTGACAAACAAGCCAACGGTATGCTTGGCATACCCTTCCTGTCTCTTCCTCAATTTCTCTGGCTCTCTCTTAATTTCTACGGTGGGTCTCTTGAGTGCTTTGGTTATTTGCGTTAATTGTAATATGGGAACTTCTAAAGTGTGAGAAAAAAGGCAGGTCTCGCCCAGGTCTAAGGGCAGTAGTTCCAGCTAAAATACCATTATCATCTCAACTTTGCAGATGAGGAAAATGAATCATAAAAAGATGAAGCATTGTGGCCTAATCACAGATTTAACCAAGGACAGGTCTGAGATGTGAATCCAGGCAGTCTCACTCTATATCTGTTTTCTTTTTGGTTTATATTATTTCTAAAACATATATATTTTTTGGTGTTTCAAGACAATAAAAACTCAGTGTGTCTTAATAAAATCCAAAAAATCAGAGCAAAACTAAGCTAAAACTAAATTGTCCTTTTGGAGACAGCTTTTGCACTGACTCTTTACTCTGAAAATTAGTAACTAAAGAGAAATAATTGTGCACCTATCTTGTCTTTCCCAACAGGAACTGTATTTGAGGGTAACCAAATAGCAATGAAGAGAAGGGAAAACAAAACAAAACAAACACCAGTGATTTCTTGTAATAAAATATTATTGTAAATACCTAGTCAAAGGAAGAGACTGTGGCTTAAAACTCAAAGAAATTTATTTTAAATTTCCTTTTTTTAACCTTTTCTCTCTTTTCACCATTCCAAAGTATCTCCTTTGCAAATGTGGTATAATATAATAGCAGAGAAATCACTCTAGAGGGAGTCACTTACCCACTTTCCTCAGGACCAAAAGTAAGCAAGTTGCAAGAAGAAATTAATTTATGCTAATGTCTTAAAATCCTGCCAAAATGTTTCTTGCTATCTCCATTAACATTTAGGATCTGGGCCATAACCAAAGTAATATATTCTAGTGACATAATATAAATTTTAGTATTGATGTAGTCATTGAAGATATTTTTAAAAATTTCTTTTATATTAATCTACTAATGAAAGGCAAGGTGACCGGATTATTATTAGCCTGAGAAAAGTCTGCAACACACAAAAAATATTCAAAAGGAGAAGAATGAATGAGAATCAAAATCGCTTCTATGATCTTGCTCAATTTTCAGATCTTAATAGGTATTATTGCTCTAATTCCCAGAGATTCCCCTGAGAGAGAAACTGAGATATTTGGTAAATGATTAATATTTTCACAGGCAGTGTTAAGATGTTATGTCCACATCCCTGTCACTGTATCTTTCTACATTCCTGGTTTAGCAACACAGCATTCTCTCAATTCTGGAAGCATCCTTTCCACTTCCGCTAGTATTCTCAGTGAGTCTAATTCATTCCAATGATTTAACCAACTCCTGATATGACTAAAAATTGTGAAAGAATATTCATCTGCTGCTGTACTTGCAATTTAACATGGGATTCCTAAATTCCCTCAAAGGCATGAATATTGAATAGTGAGACTTCAGACGTTATGGCAAGCTAAAAGTAGAAGACTGAGAAGGAAGGAGTGGAAGGAAGCTGCAGTCTCCTTCAGACCACCCCATGGGAGTCCCTGTCCCATTAATGTATAGGCCAAGCCCATTAGCTATAGCCATAAGAACCAAGGAAACCACAAATGTTGTTAACATTCTTGCTTTCATATCACCTCTTTTCCCTGAGTGCTGCAGTGCATGACATCATCAGCCATCAGCAACCTATAAGTTTTTGAAGATACCATTGTGTACCTAATGCCAAGTGAATTTTTGTTTAGAGGTACTTTCACTGACACCAAGATGTTTAAAACAAACTCATTTCTTTTTTTTTTTTCTTTTTTTGAGATGGAGTCTCGCTCTGTTGCCCAGGCTGGAGTGCAGTAACGCAATCTTGGCTCACTGCAACTTCCACCTCCTGGGTTCAAGTGATTCTTCTGCCTCAGCCTCCTGAGTAGCTGGGACTATAGGCATGTGCCACCATGCCCAGCTAATTTTTGTATTTTTAGTAGAGATGGGGTTTTACCATATTGGCCAGGCTGGTCTCAAACTCCTGACCTCATGATTCACCCTTCTCGGCCTCCCAAAGTGCTGGCATTACAGGTGTGAGCCAGTGTGCCAGGCCCAAGCTCTCATTTTTTTAAGGTTTAAGATAGTAATTGCATTCTCTTCTCATGAGAGATGGCACCTGTTCTTGCTAATTAACATTTGTAGATTTACAGAAAGTTGCACTAAGAAGACTCCATAGGAGCTCATCTAATTTACCACATTTTCCAAATTCTCTCCCACCTTCCACCTTATTTTTATGATGAAGAATCTGAGAGAGAAAAAAACAAGTTGGAGGAAGTCACAGCATTCCACTAATTCTCATCTCTCACCAGAAAATGAGAGGGAAAACATATCTCTTTGCTGCGGAAAAGAACCAGGGATGACTTGCTTCTGATGCCTCTTGGCATGACACAGTAACCAGAGGACTCAGGAGACCAGACAGGGAAATTGAGGGAGAGAGAGGCCAAGGAAGAGTGTGTCAAGCTCCAGTGCCGAAGATTCCAGAGGATCAGCGGAAGCAGGCAATGGGAGTGGGAATGGACATAGAGCAGAGATTAGGCAAAGGGATGAAGGAGGCCAACATTTGTTACCTCTGTCCCTGTTTCTTGCGTCCATTTCTGAATGCTCTGTCCAGGTAGTCCTGGTGACAGATTTTCTCTCAGTACAACCAGCAAAACAGAGAAGTCCCTTATTGGCTAGGGTTCCAGGATGCACCCCACCTGAGAAGCAAACTCTTTAAGCCACAGCAGGGCTTAGAGGAAGTTTCCCAAACTCACCTTGTCCTCCAAATACTGAAGTATCTATTTAAAATACAGAGTTTCAGGCTTGTCCCTTGGAGATTTTGATTTAGTAAGTTGGAAAGGCTATGAGGCATCTGTATTTTTCACAAACACTTTGTGATTCTAGTGATCAAAAAGGCTGGGGATATATGGGAGCAGTAAAGAATGCCGGCTTTGCTGTGGCAGAGATGAGGCCTACTCATCATGTACCTTGGGCAGGGATTTTGAAATTTTGAAACTCAGTTGCCTCATTTATAAAACAGAGATAATAATCACAGGATGGAACATTCAGTTGGATCCTACAAGTAGTCTGTAGTCATATGCATGGCGTGACCTGCATTCAATAAATATTAGCATCTAGTCCATACCTGCTATTTTCCTTGGTAGTACCTCTAGTTTTAAGGCTCAGGGCACAACAGATCCTCATTATTTAGACAGAGTACTAGCCTGCTTTAAAAAGAACAATGTTGAAAACTTCCACTGAGTGGTAAATAAGAATTACTGAGGTAAGAACCCACATGTCAGGCTATATTTGCTGAGCACAGCTACTAAAAGGTGGACAAGAGATGGCCCCCAAAGAGATTCCTATGTCGTAAAATAGAATTAGCCTCTCTTTGTCTCTAGACTGTGATCTGCATAGTTGTATCTACTTCTGCCTCATCTACCCCTGGCTATGTTTGACTGTATGTGATGTGGCACCCATCACCCAGATTTTTTTTTTTCCAGCTGGCTTCAATTTGGGATTTGGAAGTAATGCATTGATTACACTTTGCCTCACCCTTGACCAAGAATTCCCTCCAGCATGCTGCCCTTCCACCACTATCCATGGCTCCAGCTTTTCAATTCCAGGCTTTCATCCTAAAACAACTTTCTCTTGAGGACAATATCACAGTAACAGATACTAGGAATGGATTGAGGTTTAAAACAGTGTCCATGTGTTGTGGGCTTTCAATCTCGTCCTCTCAAAAGATGTTGTGTGGGATTCCACTAGACACAAAATGACAACGTAAATGTTAACAGGGGAATTTCTATGGGAACTAACATAGCATGAACTTACATCTCTACTTAATTGTCAGTGGTTGATATGACATCATTTTCCCAAGTCAGGTTCTGCAGATTAGCAAGAAAAGGAAAATAGAATGAGAAGAAAGAAGAAATAGGAAAGGCTTATAATGAGGAAGATGAAATGTTTAAAAACAAATATTTCTCCTCCAATCTTGCATTACAGACCAATCCCATGCCCTTAGAGATCTATTGGAGTTTAGGGACTTATGTTTACTAAATATCTGAAGGAAATAGTCCAATGAGATCAACAGAGGTAGGACATGAGATATCTATATCATGTATCTCAGTGAATGTATCTCTGTAATATTCACCTTCTGTAAGAAGAACAGGGGGACGAGAAGTGGTAATACTCCAGTGTCTTGGAAATACACTTCACAGAATTCCAGAAATGATAATTGTAAGCAACAGAAAACAAGATAAATCACTTGAGTATTTATGTCTGCATTTATGTAAGAAAACAGGCTATCATCTCCTTTGCAGAGGTTGGGTAGGATATAGGTGACTGTTCAGTTTCATTCTACACTTACCATGTCTTAGAAAATACTTGTCTTTGAAGCATTTATTTCTAAAAACCTGTCTCAAATATAATGGCCCATTTTCTTAAGCTAGCATGTAAAATATAACAAACCCTGAAAGGAAAATAAAGGGCAAAGTCCCACCTAACCTTGAAAAAGTTAAAAATAAAACTATCTGATTGGTGAAACCTTCCAAGGAAAAGGAGAAAAGGTTTTGAGAAGAGATTTTTGTCAGAGGAGTCAAAGCTATTTTTTTAGTATATCTTTCTAATTTTCTTTTCTACTTTCTGTCCCATTTCCCTCTATTCCTCTTCCAACCAGTATTTCCTACTACTTATAGACTTGGTATTTATTAACATACTATTTAATTTGGTATTTAACTTAGAATTTGCACTGAAGGGAAAAGAAGCAGGAAGGAAGTAGAGGAAAAAAAAAAAGAGAAAATGGGCATTGTATTAGTCTGTTCTCACACTGCTAATAAAGACATACCTGAGACTGGGTAGTTTATAAATTAAAGTGGTTTAAGTGATTCATAGTTCCACATGGCTAAGGAGGCCTCACAATCATGGTGGAAGATGAAGGAAGAGCAAAGGGACTTCTTACATGGCAGCAGGCGAGAGAGAGAGCGTGTGCAGGGGAACTCCTCTTTATAACACCATCAGGTCTCATAAGACTTATTCGCTATCACAAGAACAGCAGGAGAAAGACCCACCCCCATGATTCAATTAAGTGCCACCGGGTCCCCCCAGTACATGGGAATTATGGGAGCTACAGTTTGAGATTTGGGTGGGGACACAGCCAAACCATTTCAGGGATCAATATATTTCATGTGCCTAATGTGTTTCAGGCATTGGCTAGTGGTTTCTAGGCACATTAGCACATCCTATGCTCACAGCCATCCTGTCTTACGGGTACTGTAGTTTCCATTTTGCAGCTGAGAAAACTGAGACTCAGAGAGACTGTGGCTTATCCAAAGTCACAAAAGTACTGAATACAAGTGCTGATATTTTACTTCTAAATCCAAATCCAACTTCTTCTATTTCATCAGATGTGATTGTCTTGTAAACAAATAGCTGCCCACTTCACCTTCCTGGCCAACAGAACCCTAGTTTTATTCAGAAAACCACTCCTTGGGAAAAGTTATTCTATCCCAGCTCAGGCATTATTTTGGATAAGTTTAAACCAATCAGGCAAGTCCCAGTTCCCTTGCCAATGTTAGTTTTCAGGATATGTATATGACCCAACTCAAACCATTGAGATATTTGAAAAGTCTTCCAGGAGAGTTCTGAGAAAAAGTTACTTGCCCTTAAAAAGTGAGCAAAGATAATATTGTTATTTGATCAGATATGGTTGTAATGCCTGCAACAGTGGCGACTATATTTTGACCATGATGGCTGAAGCCTAAGAACAAAGTGAACACACCAAAGACAAAAAATTGTAAGGTGAAAAAAAAACCTGTCATTGAGCTACTAAATTGACCAGCCATGAAGCTGCTCTACCCTGGCTCTCTCACCATGTAGCATAACAAATGCCCTAAGACATTAAGAGCTGAGTTATCTGTTACTTGCAAATGGAAGCATCCTAACAGATAGAAGCCTCATTGTGGGAGATATAACAGATGCAGTGCCAATCCAATATAGAAGCAGAGAACACTGCCAGTTTATGAATAACTAAAATGGTATGGAAATAAAGAAGCCACATGTGGAAGCAAGTGTATAAACACACACAATACTAGAACAGCATCTCAACAACATCCTAGAGCAAAATATCCTACAAATGTTAACAGTTCATCTCTCTCCTTAAGTCTCAAAGTCTCACAAGGCTCAATTACATTGCTTCACTTTTCCTGAGATGTCAGGAAAGCTTTGAAAATAGCAAAGCCTGGGCTATCTCTAGGGATTTCAATGTAATTGGTTTTGGATACAACTTGAGCATTGAGAGGTGGTTGGGGCTCCCAAGGTGGTTGGTTCTAACATGATGTTTATAGAACATCACTGTTCTATAAACTTCAGCAGTGGCATTGTTTCAAATGCTTGATTACCTCCAGAAGATATCTGAGGCTTGTCCATATTAAACTACATACATCTGTATTCCCTTTCCCCCAAAATATTCCAATTTTTCATGGAGCAGGGGTGGGGTAAGAAGAGACTGGAGCAGAAGTCATTCATGAAAGGTCATGGCACTTGGAGTTCTGGGTGGTAAACCAGGAGGAGCACTGGTTTAGAAGCCAGGAAATCTAGGTTTCATTGCTAGTGTCATCAGTTACTTGGGATCATGGAAATCACCTGCTGACTCTGGGTAATCATGTCTTCAAAGATAAGACAAGGCTAATTATCCTTCTGTTTCCCTTTTGGGTGTTGTGAGGATCAAATTCACTATTCATGTGAGACGTTTTGTAAAAGGTGAAGCATCACACAGGTGTGAGATGTTGTGCTTTGTGAATGAACAGCTCCAACTTTAGAAGTTTCCAGGTTGTCACCCACTAGTTATTCTAGGCTTGAATTACTTTGCAATAGCTCAGGTTTTCTTAGTCTTTTCCCCTCATTAGAATTCCTTGGCGAGTTTTCAGAAGTCACCGATGTCCTAATCTGCCCTCCAAAAATTCTGATGTAAACTGTCTGGGGTGGGGGCTGACAATTAGTACTTTTTAAGGCTTATATATTGTGTCCAGTGGTCAGCCGAGGATCTCCAAATCCAAATGCTTGTAAATAGCAGTGTTTGGTAGGTTGTGTGGGTTTGTTCTGTTTTGCTTTTTGCCTTCCTCATCCCTGACCTCCTACTGGAGACAGTGAGTCAGCTGCAATCTCCCATCATCCTGCAGAGGATGGATGGCTCTGGGAGGCTGCCCTGGTCTCCTGCTGCCTTTCTGATCTCAACTCCAGAGTCAGGAGGCAGCGTTCTCCTCTGAGTCATCATTCCCTATAAACAACCCTAGAGTCGGGTTGCCAGTCACCCTGACCCAGCCACAGAAACCTCCTGCTTGGTTTATTCCATTCACGGGCTCTGCTGAGGCAGCTCTCATCTGGGCTTCTAAGATGTGCAGATCCTATCTAGTTACCACCTGCAGGTCATTTAGAGGCCATGTAGCAGAGAAGAAGAGGAGAAAGAGGAGAGAAATAGAGAAAATCTTTACTTCCCTATGCCCTATAGTTCTATCTGCCGTTGCATTTGTTCCACCAGGCTCACCATCAATTCATAGAATAAAAGACATAAATAAACCCTAAGAACAGGTAGGGCATTTCCTACCAATGCGGGGTCTTCTAGCCCCTTGGACACCACCTTTTCACTTGGACTTTATATAGAAGGAACAGGGAATGGGCAGGTTAGGAAAACCTGATGGCCCAGGAAGGTTTGGGATTGAGGAGTCCTCTTCTAGGGAAGATGCATCCTGGAGTATCCTGTGGATGGTTAGGGAAGAGAGACCCCTACCTCCTACAATGCTGAGAGAGGACTTCCTGAAGCCCCGAAGTCCTATGAACCAGCTATTCTCACTGAACTCAGGCACCCTGTCTCTTCCTCCTCAGTAGACTCATTAATAGTTTTCTTCCTATGATGATTATTGATATTTAAATCATTAACTCATTCACTGGATGTGAACTCCTAGGCACATCTTTGATTCATCTTGGAATATCCAAAGGGACTATAACAGCCATTGAACCTCAGTAAAAATTTGTGAATGAGTGAATGACGAATAAATGAGGGAGTGAATGAATGGGACTAATCAAATTGTTTTCTCATTCCTTTCTAAAAGCAATAGTTACTTGTAAGGGTTAAGTGTTATCTTACAAGTAGATGAGTGGGAACAGAGAGGATTTGAATGAGTAAATGAGTTTGAGGAAGATAGGCCCTGCTCTCTGACTGCTGTTCTGACCACATCACACCGTTTCATCAACCCACAGATTCTCTGTCCTTTTCCTTATCCTTAAGTGAATGAATTTTGCTCTGCCCTTGGCTTCTTGCACAGACCCTAGACATGTTCCCTATTGAATTCTACTGAGATTCTTTGCCGATACCTACCCACTCTTCTACTGCAGTCAATTGTGGTAACTCCAACCTCAGGGAGAAGGCTTTTTCAGTTGTTTTATTTTGTTTGCTGTTTTATATTTTCTCCATGTTCATTTGCAGCATATTTTGGCTGTCACTGGCAAAATCACTTCGAGGCATTGCCACATCGAGACTAAATCTGGAGGCAATGTTCTGATCTCCACTGTCATTGCACAGAGACTGTGAAAACCAGTTCCCTGGGGAAGGTGGTGAATTGAACATCGAGACCTGCTCTCATCCAGCATTTTCCTAGGTAAATATCTGTAGCATTTCCCAGGAAAGGAACACAGTAATATCTCATGCCAAACACTGGCCTCTCCTTATTTCCTATCAGTAGTTCATTTTGCAGAGTAAAGAACCATGCCTAGTTTTATCATGGGGCCACTTTATTTGAAGAGTTTACTTTATTACTTGGGTTGGCAAAACAGCAGAGTTTAAATCTTAACAAAATCTGATTACCTAGGGCAGTTTCCACCCTTAATTTTCCTCTCACATTTCTTTAACCAGGAATCAGATTCTAGTTGTCTTTAGCACAAGATGTGTCTCAGGGTACGTTTTTGTTTTTGCTCTCCTGGACCAATTCTTTTGTAGAAACAGAGCAATTATTAAGGGGGCAAGGCCCAAAGATTTAATTTCAAGGCCAAACACTGATGTAATTCAAAATTAATTAACACTTACGCAGCACCTACTATGCTTCAGGCAGTTTCTATCCCCATGTTTCATTGAATCCTCAGACAGATTCTGAGGTAGGTATTAGCATATCCAATTAACAAATGAAAATACTGAGGATCAATATAATATTACACATCTACTTATCTTTAAAGAGCAAAGAAAATTATATACATGGGAAAATGACAAATATGTACAATGATAAGGAAACAGGATAATTGCAATTATTTCTGCATGATAAAATTGTGAATCCTAGTGAGTTTATTCTTTATATATTTTTGCTCCCACTTAGTGATTATGTATTATTTCAAAAATGGCAAGTGATATGTATTTTAAAGAGAATAAAAAAACAAAAACAAAACTCAGAGGCTGTGGTTGTTCATGAGTGCACTGTTAGTAAGCTTCTGAGCCAGGATTTTCCTTTTTCTAATGGAAAGCCCTGCTCTCTATTCCACAGTGCCTCTGATAGGGAAGTAGTTTGTGAGGAGCAGGGCCATAGGAAAACACCCCCTGTGGACCTGCCCTGCCCTGAGACTGCACCATGTTGAGCACTGGGCCTTACCTGAGAAAGCAGATGTGAGAAGGAGCTTTTCTCCTGTTGTCGGAAGTGTTCAAACCAGAGCAACTCCATCCTGAATAGGGGCTGGGTAAATGAGGCTGAGACCTACTGGGCTACATTCCCAGACAGTTAAGGCATTCTAAGTCACAGAATGAGATAGGAGGTCGGCACAAGAGACAGGTCACAAAGACCTTGCTGATAAAACAGGTTGCAGTAAAGAAACCAGCCAAAGCTCACCAAAACCAAGATGGTGATGAGAATGACCTCTGGTCATCCTTACTGCTACACTTCCACCAGCACCATGACAGTTTACAAGTGCCAAGGCAATGTCAACAAGTTACCCTGTATGGTATGAAACAAGGAAGCATGAATAATCTACCCCTTGTTTAGCATATAACCAAGAAATAACCATAAAAATGGTCAACCAGCAGCCCTTGGGGCTGCTCTGCTTATGGAGTGGCAATTCTTTTATTCCTTTGTGTTGTTGTTTTTTTGGGTTTTTTTGTTTGTTTTTTTTTGAGACAGTCTCGCTCTGTCACCCAGGCTGGAGTGCAGTGGTGTGATCTAGGCTCACTGCAAGCTCCGCCTCCCAGGTTCATGCCATTCTCCTGCCTCAGCTTCCCGGGTAGCTGGGTCTACCGGCGCCCCCCACCACGCCCAGCTAATTTTTTGTATTTTTAGCAGAGACAGGATTTCACCGTGTTAGCCAGGATGGTCTCGATCTCCTGACCTCGTGATCCGCCCGCCTCGCCTCCCAAAATGCTGGGATTACAGGCGTGAGCCACGGTGCCTGGCCCCCTTTACTTGCTTCATAAACTTGCTTTCACTTTTACTCTGTGGATTCGCCCTGAATTCTTTCTTGCTCCAGATCCAAGAACCCTCTCTTGGGGTCCGGATCCAGACTCCCTTCCAGTAACACTGTTGCCTTCCTTAAGCTTCCTGATGCTCTCACTGCTGGATTCAGTGGAATACAAATGATCCCTATTATCCAAATTCCAAATCCACATGATCTTCCCTTTCATTCAGAGATATTGAGTCAAAGCGTTGGTATGTGTCACTCCAAGTGCAAATTCAAAGTATATTATGGAAAGAGTTCTGAGCTCAGAAATGAGGGCTAGGCTGGAGAACATTTGAGAGGCACTCACGTCATGTTGACGGCTGCTTGTCGCTATGGCTGGACTCAGCTGACTTTTGTACAGCGTGTCTGGTTTCCCAAAATTCTCTCATTTGCATTACCTGATCTTTGTGAGCCTTGGAGATAGGCAGGCATTTGTCAGCGAAGGAAACAGAGACCTTGAGAGTCTAAGTGACATTTTTTACTTAGTTCAGCTCCTCTGTCCAAAAACATTCAAGATGGCTTAAAATAAGACATTTATACAATGATGGTAGTCAAATAGAAATTTTAAAATCACAACCACAAAAAAGAAGAGAAGAAAGTGGATAATCCAAACAGGCAAGCTGATATACATGAAGTACAAATATTATCCTGAGTTTCTCTGCCTCCAGAACAAAAAGGGAAACATGGGAAATTAGCACACTCTTATTACTGGAGGGAGAAAATGCCATTTTCTCAGAGAAGCAGAGTTCTTCTTAACTTGGTTGTAAAACCTAAATGGAATTCTTTATAGGATACATTGAAAATTGGCAATTACCTCAACAACAGATTTTTACAACAGATTTTACAGCAAATACACCAAAATGAATTTCATATGGCTTTTTTTAAAAGCTACAAATTTTAAGCCACAAACTATTTTTAAGCTACAGGGCCTTTTTTTTTTTTTTTTTTTTTTGCATGAGCTAGACCATTAAAATCTTACAAAAGCTCTATGAAGTATTTACTATCACATTTTCCAAATTCAGAAATGGAAGCTTAAATTGATTAAGCCGCTCTCCCAACATCCCACAGCCCATAATTGACAGAGTTGGGGCTGGATCCCAGGTCTGACATCTTAAACTCTGAGGATAAGTAAAACACAATCACATAAAGGCAATCTGGCAAATTGGCAAAAATGTTGTCTCCTAGTGGACTGACCTAAGCCCACAATAAAACTTAGATCCCAGAAGTAAATGAACAATGTATTGCAAATTATTTTCAGAATTATTTCTCTAGCTGGACTTTTAATAAAGTCTAAAAAGCAAACCCTTAGCTATCATACACTGGCAAAGGTTGCTGGTTGACGCTACCCTAGAAGATTTACAGAAGATCATGTGGGTGGGTTGTGCCTTGCCAGGTTAGAACCAACTCCTCCACTACTAAGTCACAGATCTTATTATAATCAGATCAATCTCTCCCCAGCTATGACCTTAGACTCATAGTTTCTAAGTTCAAGGAATATGCATCCAATATTTTTCCCGTATTTTTAAAGCTGATATAAAATAGTCCTCCTGTGTCTGGTGCTTCACAGGGAACTGAGATTACTGAAGCTCAAGAAGCTTCAAACAGGATGGGATTACATAACAAGCCCTCCTGGATACTGAGCAGTGCTACAAGTGAACTGGGGATATTCTCCTTCGGAAAAAGCCAAAAGGCAAGCTTCACAGGGAGATAAATTTCCACAGCCTTAGTGTTCTCTATTTTATTGTCCACACAATGGTTTACATCCCTGAAAACCTGCCATTGAGTCCTCAGCTGCATCCCTGAGGCACTAAGGCTTAATGAACTCAGCTATGACTCAGTCAAATTGCTCCCAGAGTAAAGGTTTCACTGGAGAATGTAAGAGTCCTTCCGCAAAGTTAATTCTTTCTGAAAGAGGAAGAATATTAGAAAATAGTCAACCATAAATTAAGTACTTATATAACACCAATATTTCCAATTTAGTGTAGCAAAGAAGTATATTGCAGGGATTAAAAGTACATACTTTGGAGCCGGATAGCCTTGGTTCAAATGCATATCCTGCCAGGGTCTGGATTTGTTACATTGGCAGTTATTTCTAGGCCTCAGTTGCGTCATCTAGACAATGGTTATAATAGTATGACATTATTGAGTTGTTCTGCATATCCACTTAATTATTACACTTAAAGCAATTAGTAAGTGCCTGAGACATAGTTAAGTGTTCAGTAAATGTTAGGTATCAAAATGCAAGGAACTGAAGTAAAAGCTGAATAAGCTGTAACATTAACACAAGACTTCATTCTAATCCTCAAGGAATGATTTTAAGCAAAATATAAACGATGGAGTAATTAGCTCCTAATGAAGCTGTATTTGCTAGCTTTTGCTGTGTAACAAACCATCCCCCAAATGTCATGGCTTAAAGCAATAACCATATTTTAGCACACATTTGTACATCTGTCAGTTTAAGTTGCACTCATCTAGGCAGCTCATCTGGGCTGGGCTCAACAGATTTTAGCTGGGCTTGCTAAATGTTTGACAGTCAGCTAGTGGGTTGCCTGGTTTATCACTGTCTTTTCTGGGACACCCAGATTTACTGGGACTTTTCTCTCCATGGTCTTTCATGTGCTAGAAGGCAAGCCCAGTCTTATTCACATATCAGTGACAATGTTTCAGGAACAGCATAAAAACAAACCCTAAGGTACAAGTAACTGCCAAGTTGCTGTTTGCATTAAGTGTGCTGCTGTCCCATTGGCCAAGGCATGTCACATGGGCTAGCTTATACTCACAAAGAACTTTCCAAAGGTTTGAATTCAGGGGGGTGTTAGTATATGCAGTATCACTGCATCAGCACACTACAGGGGGCATCAGAAAATAATTCATAGGAGGACACAGTGATGAGTTCTAGTACAGGTGAACAAATTTTGATCAAGAAAAATGGGAGGAGTATTCTATATATGGAAAGTATCATGACCTGAGATACAGTGGGATGAACACATATAGCGTGAGGTACACTAAAACTCCCAAGGGGAAAGAGGGGAGGTGTGTTTTAATTGTCACCTCTAGCTCCAAGCTCTTCTTTCTGTCAAATAGTTTATAAACTGTCTTCCCACCTACTCACATAATACCTGTTCCATAGTGCAGCATTCTAAACAAAGAATTCCCAGCTGGGAACTATACATCCTTCTTTTAAATATTTTTTGGCTCTTTCATCACTGGGGATTATATTAAGAATCATTTCTCTAGCCGAACTTTTAATGAAGTCTAAGTAGCAAACACTTAGCTGTTGTACTGATACCACCACTCCATGCCACACCACAATAACTAGGGTCCTCAGGCCTTCCTCTCTTTTCATCCCCCTCTTGCTGAATGGATCCCAAAAGTGGCTTTCCCCAGAAACTACTTCAAACACAGCTCTGGCCCTGTATTTGCTTGAAAATAAATTACGATTCACAACACAAAGGACCTTCCATTTAACAGGGTTCATGCTTCTGAAACAGTCGTGGGTTTTTCTTCCTGTTATTAGACAGTATTTATGTTACAATTAATATTCTCTCCTTATCAAAGGAAAATCAACAGTAGTACAAGAATTATAGAGCCAAAAAATGCATGATAACCAGATTTAACAATGCTAGATCATGGATACTGTCACTTCCTGATAATTTCCCCTTATATTCCCCTACCCCAATATTCCAGCTCTACTGTTTCATAAATAGATTTGAAAATCTCACTCCCTGATAGATTTAGAAAGAATTTTTATAACATGTCACGTGTCCTAGGGCACCCGGGGATGAATCTAGTCCCTTGGGAACCCATGAGAATAATGAGCATCAGGTTGTCTATCAAACTCATACAGCAGGAAGAAAGTCTATGTGGTTTGTCTTACTCTATCCCGATAAATTCTGTTTCCCCTATTCTTCAAATCCACTCATAAAATCTCCCTGCATGATGATTAAGACTGTACCCTGAAGACTCAAATTGACTGAAAATTTGGGAATTTATGCTCAGGTTTAGGAAACAAAAGACATAGGAGTTTTAAGTAAGAGCCATTTCAATATATGGCACATGTGTCTTATATTGTGACTTATTTTATTCAGTAAGTCTGGGCTATGATATTTCAAGCACATATTCTCCAAAGCAAATCTAAGTTGCATGTAGCTAGGGTTGATGTGGATTTTCCAAACTACATGATCTCTCTCTAAATATTAGTGATATATTACCTAAGGAGCCATGCATAGCAATCTGAAACCCAGTTGTGTAATAGAAAATGAGATCTAACATTCCACAAATGGCCAGGAAGTACACACAAGAGAAGTCAGTGAGGAGAAAAATGTCCAGGTGCTGCCTGTTGATTGACATTAAATTTGAACATACTTTACGTTATTTATTGATGGACAAGAGGAAATCAAAGCATAACAAATTAGACACAAGTTTACTACAAAATATGCAGAAAAAATGAATCAGAAAGAAACGTGAAGATTAAAATAATCTACTTTTTGTCATTAAAGAGGGGAGAGGGGAGAAAACCTATTTGGCATTCTCAACAGATTCTTTAAAACACTAACAAAAAATAAAATGAGCTGATATTAGCAAAAAGATGGAATAAGGACTCTAAAAGTTCACACCTTCAGAAAAATCAATGAAAAATCTGACAAAAAAAATCAGAATCAACTTTTTATACAAGCATACCAAAAGTTTGAAATAATGCACAGAACACTTACTTAAAAACAGCAGTTAAATCTTGGTAAGATCTTGTAGCTTTTTAATTTACCCTAATTCTAGCTCTCACTTCCAGCTCAGAGCATTATTAAAAAATTCGTAATTTCTGGTACTTGTAACAGATGGAGCAGAAGCCATTTATTTTCAGAGTGTTGAACTTTTATGTTTTGACTTGTCTGGTGGCTCCCTGGAAGACCAGATCAAAAGACTTGCCTTTATCTTGCCTGATTCAGAACCCACCTAGTGCTAAAGCTACTACCTCGAGTGTGTTTATAGGAAACATTTACAGGCAAATAAATATTTTAGTGACTGCTGTCTCAGGTAATGGATGATACTTAAAACAGACTAACCAAAAGGTTTGAAGGAAAGACTAGAAAATAAGACGTGTTGGAAAATAAGGGCTTTAGTAAGCTGCAACCTATTTCTGGAAACCTTGAAAGCTAAATGCATGCCCAGAGCTGTGTGTGTGCTCAAGGAAGACCCAGCAAGGGCTGAATCAGTCACCGATGGCTGACCTTGATTGCTCTGTGAAAGCAAGAAGGCAATATCAGAGTTTTAAACTGCCTGGCTAAGTGCTGAAAACACACCACACACACACCAACACACAAACACATACACAGACTCTGTGTAAGACCGGAAGATGTTCTGGTTTCAGGATTTGAAGAAAATTCCTGCCCTATCATTACTTGACCACTAAGCTAATGAAACAGAGACCTCAGGGGCCACACATAACAAAAATGAAAACTTTACAGAATTGGTTCTGAAAGTCACTAAAACAAAATGTCACCAAATAAACAACTACTACAACAAGCAGCAACAAGAAATCCTGAAGAAGAGAATCTGGTTATCAGAGTTGCCAACTTATACTAAAAATGTTAAATTTGAAGCAATAAATTATCAGGCATGCAAAGAAACAAAATGGTATGATCAATAAATAGAGAAGAGGCTGGGTGTGGTGGCTCACACCTGTAATCCCAACACTTTGAGAGGCTGAGGCGGGTGGATCACAAGGTCAGGAAATCGAGACCACCCTGGTTAACATGGTAAAACCCCGTCTCTAATAAAAATACAAAAAATTAGCCAGGCATGGTGGCAGGTGCCTGTAGTCGCAGCTACTCGGCAGGCTGAGGCGGGAGAATGGCATGAACCCGGGAGGCTGGCATGAACCCGGGAGGCAGAGCTTGCAGTGAGCCGAGATAGTGCCACTGCACTCCAGCCTGGGCGAAAGAGCAAGACTCCGTCTCAAAAAAATAAATAAGTAAATAAATAAATACATAGAGAAGAAAGTAATCAATGGAAACTGTCACTCAAGGAGTTCAGATAACTTATTATACAAATGCCTTAAATTATCTATTTTAAATCATTTAAATATATTCAACAATTTAAAGAAAATCATGTCTGAATAACTATAGAAACCATGAGAATAATGTCTCACCAAATAAAAAATCCAATAAAGAAACAGAACTTATAAAGTTAAAGAGAAATTCTGGAGTAGGAAAGCACAACAACTTAAATAACATTTCACTAGAGAGGATCAAGAACACACTTGGGCAGCACACTTGGTAAGCATAAGAAAAATCAGTAAAATTGAAGATAGGTTAATTGAGATTATCCATTCTGAGAAATATAATTTTTTAAATGAAGGAAATAAATAGAGCCTAAGAGACTTGTAGGACACCATCAAGTATACCAACACACAAATAATGAGATTCCCAGAAGAAGAGGAGAAACAAAAAGGGAAAAAAATATTTGAAGAAATAAGGGTCCAAATCTTCCAAAATTTGAATTAAAAATAGTAAAATACATATCTAAGAAACTCAAAGAACTTCTAGTCAAAAAAACTCAAAGAGATATGTGCTTACACATAATAAAGTGTCAGAAGATAAAGATAAGGAATCTTGAATGCAGCAAGAGAAAAGAACCTCATTATATGGAAATGCCCCTCCAAAGATTAATGTCTGTTTTCATAAGATACCGCAGACGCCAGAAGCAGTGGGATGACATATTCAAAGAGCTTAAAAATAAACGAAAAAACCATCAAACAAGAATTTTATATCCAGCAAAACTTTCCTTCAAAAATGAAGGCGAAATGAAGACATTACCAGATAAACAAATACAGAGGGTTATTAGCAAACCTGCCCTCTGAGAAATGCTAAAAATCTTTCAGTGTGAATTGAAGATATACTATATAATAACTTAAATATATACAAAGTAAAGAACACCAGTAAGTTATCTACATAGGTAAATGTAAAAAAATAGTATTAATGTATTTTAATTTTTTTCTTTTAGAGATAGGGTCTCACAATATTGCCCAGGCTGGCCTTAAATTCCTGGGCTCAAGCAATCCTCCCACCTTGGCTGCTCAAAGAGCTGGAATTACAGGCTCTGAGCCACTGTGCCCAGCTGTAAGAGGCGTTTGAACCAGAATGACTCCATCTTAAATAGGGGCTAAGTAAAATAAGACTGAGACCTGCTGAGCTGCATGCACAGTAAATTAGGCATTCTAAGTCACAGGATAGGAGGTTGGCAAAAGATACAGGTCATACCGACCTTGCTGATAAAACAGGTTGCAGAAAAGAAGCCAGCCAGAAGCCAGCCAAAACCCACCAAAAACAAGACAGCAACAAGAATGATGTCTGACGGTCCTCACTGCTCATTATATCCCAATTATAATGCATTAGCATGCTAAGAGACACTCCCACCAGCACCATGACAGTTTACAAATGCCATGACAAAGTCAGGAAGTTACCCTATATGGTCTAAAAAAGGGAGGAACCCTCAGTTCAGGGAATTGCCCACCCCTTTCCCAGAAAACTAATCAATAAGCCACCCCTTGTTTAGTGTATAATCAAGAAATAACTGTAAGTGTCCTTAATGGAGCAGCCCACACCGCTGCTCTGCCAGTGGGGCAGCCATTATTTATTCCTTTACTTTCCTAATAAACTTGCTCTCACTTTATTCTTTGGATTCACCTCAAATTCTTTCTCTCGCAAGATCCAAGAACCCTCTCTTTGGGTCTGGATCCGGGCCCCTTCCGGCAACAAAGCCAAATGTAATTTTTAAATTTGCAATTCCTTTCTTTACATCTGATTTAAAAGACAACTGTACAAAATGATAATTACAAGTCTACGTTGGAGAACACATGGTGTAAAAAGATATATTAATAATTTGTGAAAATAACAGCACAAAGGGGAAGAAGATCTAGGCTATAGCAGCAATGCTTTAGTGCACTATTGCAGTTAAGTTGGTATTAACTAAAAAAAAAAATTAAAATGGTACACTAGGAAATACCTATTTAACTCAAAAGGAGACAATAATGGAGGAAATGTGGAAGAAAAAATAATAACACATATAGAAAACAAATATCCAAGGGGAGAACTGTATTCTTATCAGTAAGTATATCCAATGTAAATAGATTAAACCCTCCAGTTAAAAGGCAGAGACTGGCAGAAGGGTTAAAGGAATAACAACAAAACATGATTCCTACAGACTATGTGTTGTCTATAAGAAACCCACTTTAGATTCAAAGACACGAATAAATGCAAGTTAAAAAAAAAAAGGAAAAACATATCCCATGCAAGCAGTAATCAAAAGAGAGCAGACAAGATGGACTTTAGGGCAAAAGTTGTTATGAGAGGCAAAGAAGGACATTATATAAAGATAAAAGGATCAATCCATCAAAAAGTTTTAACAATAATTAAAATATATACACCTAAAAAAGAGCCCCAAAATACATAAATCAAATCTGACTAAATGAATGAATAAACAGTTTGATAACCATGGTTGAAGACCTCAACACCCTGCTTTTAATAATGGACAGAATGATGAGACAGATGATCAAGAAAATAAAAGAATGGAACAACACAATAACCCAACTAATCAACAGAACATTTCACTCTGTGATAGCAGAATACACATTCTTCTCAAGTGCATCTGGAAGATTCTCCAAGATACACTCTGAGTCAATTCACAAAACACATCTCAAAAGTTTAAAAATGTTGAAAGCATACAAAATATGTTTCCCACCACGATGGAATGAAATACAAATTAACAACTGAGGAACTTTTGAAAATTCATGAATATAATGAAACTAAGCAACCCACTCGTAAAAGATCTATGAGTCAAAGGCATCATCACAGCAGAATCAGAAAATACTTTGAGATGAACTAAAATAAAAAAAGCATGCCAAAACATGGGAGGCAGTGAATGTAATACTTACAGCAAATCTACAATTGCAAATGCTTTCATTTAAAAGGAATGCTGGTTTCAAATAAATAACCTAAACTTCCTCCTTTAAGAAAAAGAAGAACAAACTACACCCAAAATAAGAAGATATAACTAATAAAGACTAGAGAGGAGATAAAACAGAGAATTTAAAAATCAATAGAGAAAACGAAACCAATAGTTGGTTCATTCAAAAGAATGACGGAAGTGCCAAACTTTTAGTTAGGTTAACCAAGAAAATAAGAAAGAAAACACAAATTACTAAAATTAGGAATAAAAGTGAAGGCACTCAAACCTACTTGAAAGAAATAAAAAGGATTATTAGAGAGTACTCTAAATGCTTGTGCGTCAACAAATTAATCTTCTCATCTCTCTGAGGTAGCTTAACTTTTTAAAAAATGCTGAACTATTCAAAACTATATAAATAATCTCCTAAAATATGCAAGGTCCTCCTTTCTGAACTAAGTAATATTTTTTAAAATCCTATTCCTAAATACTCTTTGAAAAGCCCAATAATAAAACATGGGGCCAGTGAGGCTCACTATATCATTTTTAGAGCTTGGTCACTTTGGAGAATGGCCCAGATTGCCTCTGGAAACTCAAAGTTCCCACCAACATAAACACATTCATGCTTATGACATTCCTAGGAAAATCCAAATATTTGAGAATTTGAAAATCTGACAACTTAATTCCCATTTTTCATGATCAAATATTCAAAATTGGATTTAACATATTGATTGACCCCCAGGAGAATGACTCAACATTGTTGTTTTTAATGCTTTGTTATAGTATCCAGCAGGCAACGGTTGTTTTTCTAAAGCTTGGAATAAAACTGCAACTGACTGGGAAGCCTGAAAGGACTCATCACCTTTATTATATCATAACATCTCTTGTTTCTCCTGAGTCGTGTTTTTGTTATTTTTTTAAAATTATTATACTTTAAATTCTGGGGTACATGTGGAGAACGTGCAGGTTTGTTACATAGGTATACATGTGCCATGGTGGTTTGCTGCACCCATCAACCTGTCATCTACATTAGGTATTTCTCTTAATGCTATCCCTCCCCTAGCCCCCCCATCCCCCGACAGGCCCTGGTGTGTGATGTTCCCCTCCCTGTGTCCATGTGTTCTCACTGTTCAACTCCCACTTATGAGTGAGAACATGCGGTGTTTGGTTTTCTGTTCCTGTGTTAGTTTGCTGAGAATGATTGTTTCCAGCTTCATCTATGTCCCTGAAAAGGACATAAACTGGGTCGTGTTTTTAAATCTTACAATACTGAGAATTAAACAATTCCTTATAATTTAAGCCAGTTGGGCGTCATTCACTAGGCAATAAAGCATGTATTAATCTTTTCTAAATTTTTATTTATTAAAAGCTCTGAGACATTCAGAAATCAATAAAAGTAGAATCAATTATCTTTTTAATCTCCTTGTATGCTCAGGAAATGAATCAGCAAGCACAGCAGTGAGAAACTGTTCTGCTTTTTTACGAGTTAACTATGCAAGCGGTAAAATGTTTGAGAGAGATGTGGAGATTTAAGCTGCCGAACTCACATTTAAAATGTAATCGACAAACACTCATGACAATTAGTATTTACAGAAGCTCTTACCATTTATCAGGCACTTTCACATGCATTACTGTATTCAATCATCACAAAAAAACCTGAGATGGGTATTTTCGTCTTGAATGTAAGGTACAGAAAGATTAAACAGCTTGATAAGAGACATCAAATCAGAAGCAGACTCCTGGTTCCACGCCCAAAGCTCTTCCCCATTTTGCTGAGTCATAGCAGAATCCATACAGCCATTACTGAATTTTGTCTCGTCATGAAATACGTTCTCATAAATGTTTATTATAAATGCACTTTCCTTGCAGGACATTATCTTTCTTGACAGTTTTTAGTTCTTAGTCACACAACTTAGAGAAATTATATTTGGCCACATATAATTAATATCCCCACTAAATTATAAAAACTTGGACTTTGTAAAGTTTGTTGGGCATTTTAAAATCATAAACTTTAGACAACTATAACTAAGATTAATTAATTCTCTGCAATATCAATTATTGCAAATGCATGAAACCAATTCTCAATTACTCATATCATCTATGGCATTTTTTAAATCCTAAAAACATTTATTCCTGTCTCTGAGAATACTTGATATTATAACATCCTAATCAGGAAATATAAATAAGTATAGATATTAGCTTAAAAATATAAAATTAGGATAATGGGCATAATATGTATGTTATATACATACAATTACCTTTTGCTACTTTCTTCCAACTGAATGGATAATCAAGAGTTGATGAGAAAATGTTACTAAAATATACATAAAAAACACATATACAGGTACAATGTATATGACTTGTATATATGCACATATATACACACAAACATAACACATAAATATGAATACGTATGATGGATATGTACATACACACATTATATAATTATTATGAATGTATATGTGTATATATACACCTATATACACATATGCATGAGCTCATACTGAAACCTCCAATGACAAATCAACAGCAACAGAGGGTTCATTCTAGTGGTCCCCCTTTCTATAACAACCTTCATCAAAAATGAGAAAACTAGCTCACATTATACTTAATATATTTACTTGATTTCCCAGTCATAAAATACACAGAAAACAGTTTTAGAATTGTTAACCCATAGCAATGCTTTAAAAAACATAACTAACTAGATCTCAATATTTGCATTTGATCTTAGTCAAAAGGCTGAGAAGCAATGAGATCTCAATATTTGCGTATAGCTTCTTTTTCTCTTTAATCTAAGGTCAGAGACTGAAAATACCATGGTCAGAAGCTGGTAGGGTTAAATTTTCTCTTCATTCAGTTTGATAATGTTACTCATTTGAAATACAATTACATTAAACTTACTTGGTTCATATCTTATTTTATGGTTCTTTTGTGCCTCTAAATATCTTGACTGCAAAGAGTCAAAACTATCTAAAAAGTATACATCTATCCTTCCCTATCCACAGATTCTGTATCCCCAAATTCAACCAACTACAGATTGAAAATATTTTTAAGAATGATAAAAAATGACAATACAAAATTGAAATAAATTATAAAAATATATTATAACTATTTACATAGCATTTACATTGTATTAGATATAAGTAACAGATGATTTAAAGTATATGGGAAGATGTGTATAGGTTATATGCAAATACTAGCCATTTTATATAAGAGACTTGAGCATCTGCAGATTTTGGTATTCACGGGGCTTCTGGAACCAATCCCCCATGGATTCCAAGGGACAACTATACTTAGAAAAGTGTCACCCCCATGCTATGTTTTCCACCTCACTCCCATCTGACAACCCCTATAAGTTGTCAATCTCATTATTTTCTAGTTTGCCTTTCCTACAATTCATTTTGCAAAAATAAACACATACATGTATTATTTTATATTTCCTTTTTTTTTTTTTTTTTTTGGCCAAAGTTAGTGTGCTATACTCTTCTGCACTTTGTGTCCTGCAAATCACTCTATATATGCTCATGGTGATCTTCATCATCCTTTCATAGAAGCTTCAGGGCATTCTGATAAGTGCACATACCATAATCTGTTCAATTAATCTTCCATATATGGCCATTCAGGATGTTCCAGCATACTAAATTACAAAAAAAGTAATACAATAAACATCTTTGTGTAAATGTATTTTTACACTGTGGGAGATATGCCTTTAGAATAAACTCCTAGAAATAGGATTTCTTGGTCAAAACGTAAATGAGTATATAGTTTTCTTAAATATTCCCTTCCATGATGATTGCACCAGTTAATATTCCCATTGTCATCATTCTCAGTAAACTATCGCAAGAACAAAAAACCAAACACCGCATATTCTCACTCATAGGTGGGAATTGAACAATGAGATCACATGGACACAGGAAGGGGAATATCACACTCGGGGACTGTGGGGGGTGGGGGGAGGGGGGAGGGATAGCATTGGGAGATATACCTAATGCTAGATGACGAGTTAGTGGGTGCAGCACACCAGCATGGCACATGTATACATATGTAACTAACCTGCACAATGTGCACATGTACCCTAAAACTTAAAGTATAATAAAAAAAAAAAAAAGAAAAAAAAAGAAAACAACAACAACAAAAAAATATATATTCCCATTGTCAATGCACGTCTGTGCCTACATTCTCCCACCCTCAGCAACAGTCTTGATTAAGTTGTTATATGTCTGGAGGTCAGAAGTAAAGAATCGAGATTCCCTCAGCTAAAATTAAGATGTCAATGGGGCTATGTTTCCTCTGGAGGCTGAGGGGACAATCTGTGTCATTGAGTCATTGGATTTTCCAGCTACTACAGATCCCTGTGTCCCTTGAATCCTGCATTCCTTTCTCTCCATCTTTTTTTTTTTTTTTTTTTTTTTTTTTTTTTTTTTTTTTTTGAGACAGTGGTTCACTCTTGCCACCCAGGCTGGAATGGAATGGCAAGATCTCAGCTCACTGCAATCTCCACCTCTCGGCTTCAAGCTATACTCTTGCCTCAGCCTCCCAAGTAGCTGGGACTACAGGCGTGTGCCACCATACCTGGCTATTTTTGTATTTTTAGTAGAGATGGGGTTTTACCATGCTGGCCAGGCTGGTCTTGAACTCCTGACCTCGGGTGATCCACCTGCCTTGGCCTCCCAAAGTACTGGGATTACAGGCGTCAGCCACCGTGCCTGGCCCTCCCTCCATCTTTAAAGCCAGCAATGTCACATCTCTCTTTCCCTTCTTCTGCCCTCATACCTCTCTCTCACTGCAGAAAATTTCCTTACTTTTAAAGGACTCACATGGTTACACTAGGCCCACCCAGATATTCCAGGATAATATCTCCACCCCAAGTCCCTCACCCTTCGTCACATCTGCAAAGTCCCTCTCATCATATACGGTAATGGATACCTGGTGATTAGGACATGGACATCTTTAGGGGCCATTGTTTTACCTAATACAGGTATTTTATCATTCAGTGTCGAAATTTCTCCTTCTGGAGATGAATTTGTGTTTCATCTGAGTTCTTTCTTCTCTCCTTTGATAGAATCTCTTAAGCCTCCCATTTCCTTCTTTCTACACCCACAGGCTTGAGGGGCCACTGAGCTCTGATGAGATTTGGGGTTTATTTTTCTCAGATGTCATTTGAAGTTCATGGTATTTTCTGCCTCCTACTAACATAATGGTGAAATCATAAGACATGTGTGGGTTTTTTTCTGCTCCTTGTTGTACTTTTTAAAATTTATCTGTACTTTATGTTCAGGAGTGATGGTATATGGAGAGATTTAGATTCAGTTGGCCACAACATTGCAGATTTTATGACTATTAATGTATGATTTAGGGTATTTCTTAGGACTGTCCTAGGTCTTTGTTACTATAAGTGTATTTTGAAAACCAGAATACCATATTACCTCTGATCATCAAATATGATGATGAAGAACAAAGTTCCAGGGCATTTTTTACAAAATGGAAGGGATAGACTAGTGCTGCAATCAAGCAATGAGAGCTCATCACTACAATGTACCACAGACTAATAAGCAAACACCCACTAGAAGACAAGACCTTCCGATGAATTATAATTGTCACTTCACACCTACTCCCTACAAGGAGGCTTTTATCTGCAGCTGCTATAATCAATAGCGCTTTGTTGCTGGCAAGCATTATACTTTTATAGCTGCAAAATGGAAACAGAAAGCTTTAAAATCTCTCAATATCTATGTTTGAATATCTCACTATCTTTTCTCTGTTCTCTTATTTGCAAACACTGTTCATGTTCTCTCTGATCACTTTACAGATGCTTTCTCATTTCAAGAAACATTTCATTATTTTATCTCTTGAGAGAAATGGGCAATGGCTCAAGTTTCACAAACCAAATGGGCACACTGTATTAAAAAGTTAATTTAGGCATGTTGGGTTTTACAAAATTTTTTATTAATGGTGTATTTTCAAGGAATATGTGAAAATAAAATGACACAAAGAGCACACCATGAAGATCAGCTTTAAATTCCCCCTTCCCACTTTAAATTCTTAGTTCTTCAGTTGTACACTTAAAAGAACCCCCTTGCTGTTTTCTTATTTATATTTTCAAGTTTTATTCAGTTACAATTGCATGTTCACACGTTCCCCTTTATAATACACAAATACAAGCCAATGATACTACTGAGTCTTCATTCTTTATACTTAGGTACCTTGTGATCTTTCCTTATGTGCATATATAAAGCTATCTCATATCTTTTCACAGTTGCATGGTTTTACACCGTGTGACGGTTAATACTGAGTGTCAACTTGATTGGACTGAAGTATTGTTCCTGGGTGTATCTGTGAGGGTGTTGCCAAAGGAAATTAACATTTGAGTCAGTGGACTGGGAGAGGCAGACACACCCTCAATCTGGGTGGGCACCATGTAATCAGCTGCCAGTGCAGCTAGGATAAAAGCAGGTTAGAAGAACTTCGAAGGATTAGACTGGCTTAGTCTCCTGACCTACATCTTTCTCCCATGCTGGATGCTTCCTGTCCCCCAACACCAGAATCCAAGTTCTGCAGCTTTGGGACTCTCGGACCTTCAACCACAGACTGAAGGCTGCACTGCTGGCTTCCCTACTTTTTAGATTTTGGGACACAGACTGGCTTCTTTGCTCCTCAACTTGCAGACAGCCTATTGTGGAACCTCACCTTGTGATCCTGTGAGTCAATACTCCCTAATAAACTGCCTTTATACATACATCTTTCCCATTAGCTCTGCCTTCTAAAGAACCCTAATACACTCTGTATTAATAATCTATAATTTATTTAAAAACTGTCCTATTAATGGATTTAAATTTTTATTTAAACTTCCTACTACACACATTTATTCACTCCAAATCAAGTGTTTTTTTTTTCTTGTTAAGAAGTAATAGTAGAAACTCAGAGCACAAAATGGAATCTGTTTAACAGAAAAATAATAAAAAAAAACATGGGGTCCGTTTCTGATATGCAAAAGGTTTTGGAAGTCAGCACGCTCATCCTGACAAGAAAAGAAGCTCAACAAACTGAAAGTTGCTGGATGGATCAAAGACTTGAGATCATAGAGAAAACCGCTACCCTGAAATCAGTAGCTATGGGTGAAAAGAGAGAATCACTGTAAAAATCAGCTTACTCTGAGCAGAAGCCACTGGTAAACTGGTAGGAACACTTAAATCTTAATTTTTACAAATTGCTAGAGGCTGAATGTGAACTACTATGAGAGTTAGAAACATGAGACTATGAGAGTAAGACCATAGCTGTGGAGCTATAGTCTTAAGAGGACCTTCAATTTTTTATAGGTTTCACCTCCAGGAACCCTACCAGACTTTCACAGTGAAGAGCTGAAAGATCCCTTCTTGGTTCCGGAAGAGAAGGAGAAAAAGTAATCATTTCAAAATATGCCAAGAGAGTTCTCCACAAGGAAGTCCTGCTCTCCAGGTTAGCCCACCTGGGGAGAGTTCTGATGTCCAAGAGAAGACAGAGAATGGGGCAGTAATATACTTGGTAAAAGCTGCAACTTCATAGATTTATAAATGTGAGGTCATCACAACCCAAACTGAATAAATACAAAGAAAATATGCGTAAGCACATCCTAGTCAAGAATGTCTAAAAACAGTAAATGCTAAAAAAAAAAAAAAACAAACAAAAAAACAGAAAAAGGATACATTATATACCTGGAAACGAATTCAAATGGCCATAGACTTCTCATCAAAAATTAAACAGGTAGGTAGTGTTATTTCAATATAAATTAAATTTTAATTCTGTGATCATTATTTTTATGCATCAACTTGACTGGTCTAAGGAATACCCAGGTCACTGGTAAAGTATTATTTCTGGATATGTCCATGAAAGTGTTTCTGGAAGACACTGGCATTTGAATCAGTGAACTGAATAAGGAAGATCCACTCTTACCCAATGTGGGTGGCTACCATCCAACTGGCTGAAGGCCCCAATAGAACAAGGCAAATTCTCTCTCTCTCATTCTCTCTCTCTCTCTCTGAGCCAGAACACCCTTCTCCTCCTGGCCTTGCACATCAAGTTATTTTGCTGGTGTAAGTCCTGGAGTCCAAAGGCAAAAGAACTTCATGTGCAATGCCAGGAGAAGGGTGTTTTCTTTTTCCTAGGGTTAATTTATTTCCATTTTGATTCTCACTATTCTGTGCTCTCTACTCAAGACCCTGCATATTTAATGAGCTCTTTTGAGTTTGGCTAGAGGAACTTGAGTGTTTCCCACCCTGGTGTGAACTCCGGAAGTTGTTCATTTTACAGCTTCCCAGGAATTGCTTTTTCCTCAGACATTACTTTTGCCTGACCTCTTGGGGTTTCACTCTACCCATGTGCAGAGTTTTCAACCAGAGACCATGAGGACCCTTATCCATATTCCTAGGGTCCTTTCTATGTATCTCTCTCTTATCTTGGGTGCTTTTCCCAGAAATTAGAGTCACTTTGGCTTCCCTAAACTTTGGTCTTTGTCTTTTTGACTTGGTGAGATTGGCCAGACTCTGCTGGAGGCATGTTGCTCTAAGCCATGGTCAGGAATCATCTCCATGCAGAAGGCTTTGTGATGAGTTCACCTCACTTGTTTTCTTGACTTCCTTCTTTGCAGGAATCACAATCATGTGCTGTCTGTGGTCCTATGTCTAAAACCTGTCATTTCTTTTTTTTAAAAAAATAGTTACTCCAGTTTTTAGGTTGTTTATACCAAGAGATAAGTTCTGTACCAGTTTGCTTTTATGCTAGGAACAGAAAGTCACTTTTACTGATTTTAGTCATGTTAGTCTACCTCTTGTTTTTACTATACTTTATTATAGCCTGAAACTTTTCACTGCTTTAATGCTTATATGAAATTACTAGATTCTGAGGCATCACGGGTAATTTACTTCTCTTCCACACCCACACACTGCGTTTAGTGCCCAGCTTCTGTAAGAAGCTTTACATTTTCTACCTTCTTTGTGATCATTCCTCGCCTACACTCTACCTCCATGTAGCCATGCAAACTAGCAATGGGTTTTTGAATATCTTGAGAACTGTTAGCATCCCCCACCTGCCAGCTGATTATAGAAAAACCATCCATGCAGAATTCCTATCTCAGAAACTGTTTGGTTTACCTTTTGATGTTGGGAGTTGTTTGAACTGTGTCCCTTCAATATACCAGGCATTGAAGATAAAATTGTGAGCCCAAACAGGGTCCCTCCTTCTGTGGAAATTACAGTCTAATGCAAGACAGACATTCATCATCACACGAACCAGTGGATATTTGGAAGTAAGGATTGTTATAAAGATAAGGTAAGCTGTGCTATAAGAATATAACCCAGCTCTATCTGAGAAACCCAGCTCTCTCTAAGAAATGCAGGGAAATCTTGGTGAAATTACTATTGATATGAAATCTAAAGCTCGAGTAGGAATTATCTGGATAAAGGTGATGGTAGGAAGGTGGGGTGAGAGAGTTGTTCAGGTAAAGGGAACATCTCGTACCCAAGGCCTGTGTTTAGAAGAAGCATGGTGCATTGAAACAACACAAACAAGGTAGACATGGCTGAAACCAGAGTGTAAGGTTATGCTGGTGAGACAGGTAAGGACATGGTGGTTTATGCTAAGGATAGTGGCCTTTACCTTAAAAGAACAAGAAAATTGCCAAGGTGGGAGGATTGCCTGAGGCCAGGAATTCAAGACCAGCTTAGGCAACAAGGCAAGACCTCGTCTCTACAAAATAATAATAAATTATCTCAGGGTTTTAAGCAAGGCATTGAATTGATCAATTTGAGTTATAAAAAGATTATCATGAGTTCGGTATTAGGAAAAGATTGAAAAGAAGAATGATGGAAACAGAATAATTAGACTGGCTGGGCGCAGTGACTCATAACTGTAATTCCAGCACTTTGGGATGCCAAGGCGGGTGGATCACTTGAGGTCAGGAGTTAAAGACCAGCCTGGCCAACATGGTGAAACCCCATCTCTACTTAAAAAAAAAAAAAAAAAAAAAAAAAGCAAAAATTAGCTGGGTGTGGTGGCACACGCCTGTAATCTTAGCTACTCGGGAGGCTGAGGCAGGAGAATTACTTGAACCTGGGAGGTGGAGGTTGCAATAAGCCAAGATCGCACCACTGTACTCCAGCCCGGGCCACAGAGAAAGACTCTGTCTCCCCCGACCCTCCACCCCCACACAAAAAAATAGCTAAACTATTAACCCAGAGAAATAATGGTAGCCTGAACTTGAGAGTTAGCAGTGGATGGGATTGAAAGGTTTGGGAGATAAAGTTGTCAGGGAGTGAGTTATTTTAAAGAAGCACTCTTGGGCTCTCACCTGTGGAAGGGAGGAAAGCAGAGCAGGGTAGAATAGAGGGGGAAGTGTAGTTTAAATATGGGGACTTAAAAAAGAAGGATGAGAAAATGACAACTTGTGGGATTAACCAGGTAATAGTGTCATCTTCTAAGAAAGGGAAAGAAAATCAGGGTTAGTGATGTCTGGGGAGAAGAATGAATGAAGACTGAGTCTAGTTTGTATGTGCTGAGTTGGGGATGCTGTGGGTTCACTGAATTATAGGTGCTTGGTGGACAGTTGGGAATATAGAGATGGAGCTCAGAGAAGTCAACATGATAATTGTGGATGAGTTTTGCCAATGGACGTAACATACAGTCTGTAGAGATGCTCCCGCCCCATGAGTGAGTAACTCTTTGCCCTTCTACAGGAAGTGCCATTGACTGAGGGCCTTCAGTTATAGCTACTTCAGGAATAATTTTTTTAAAAAAAGATTGCCTTGTCCATGGTTATGCCTATTCCCAGGTTGGCCTTTGGCCAATGACTCATAAATGATGGCATATAAAGGCCAGGGCATCACGACCATTCTAGCTCCAGAGCTTCTCACATGGTTGGCGGAGGTGGTGGCTGGGCCCTTATCACAGCACAACTTCCTCCTTTACTCCATCTTGCCTTTCTTTCCTCCCTTCCACAGGTAAGAGCCCAAGAGTGCTTTTTAAAAAACAGACCACATGCCAACTCTGGGGAAACCAACTTTAGTGTCAATGAAAGTGCAAAGAGATCTTGACTGAGCTTTAATAAGTCCAACATGTTAGGCCCTGATAAGAGAAGAAGAATCATAAAAAAAAACAGAGAAAATATGACTGGACTAACAGACCTAGAAGTAGGCAAGAGTAGATGTCATATATGCCAAGAAGCTGAA
This sequence comes from Homo sapiens, assembly GCF_000001405.40. NCBI lineage: Eukaryota > Metazoa > Chordata > Mammalia > Primates > Hominidae > Homo > Homo sapiens. Next base: position 24,692,381 of record NC_000008.11, read on the forward strand.
AGACTAAAGTATGAACTGAAAAATATATTTCTATTGGAGATGTTGGTGAGAGTTCTTTCAGAGCAGTGCTAAGAGTAGAAAACCAAACTATAGTGGGTTGAGAAAGGAATAAGATGTGCAATAAAGAAAACAGTGAACATAGACACTTCTTTTGAGAAGCTCATCTTTGAGGGGAAAGAGAAAGAAGTGGTTGGCAGAGGTCAAGAAGATCAGTTCTTAAGAGGACAAAGTTTCATGTTTAGTTGTTCATAGAAAGAGAACAGTTGAAATGGGGTTAAATTTTTAGAAGAGATACAGAGAGAGCAAGATAGTAAGTTGTTATATTTGGAAAGCTTAAAAGGTCAAGAAAAATGAATTAAAACCAAGAGGGTAAATTGAGGAAGGGGCTCACTGCAGTCAGATTTCAGTAGAGTGAGGAAGAGAGGAAGAGAAAGGACTCTCCAAGGCCAGTTTTTGTTTGTATTAATTAAACTTCAGTATGTGTAATAATCATTGAATGCCTTGATAAAAAAAAAAAAAAAGAGTCCAGGATAATTCCCAGAGATTTGGATTCAACAGAAATGCAATGGAACCCAGAATCTGCATTAATAAGATCGTCAAGTGATTCTGACATAGATGGCTCCAAACTGTCAGAGGAGGACACTAACACATTGCAGGTGTCACTAGTGAGCCCTCCAACTGCTCTCAGGGGAGTGCCAAAAGACAGTGCCTGTGTGTAAGGAAGAAGTAAAAATGTTAACAGCCCCAGAGCCTTCTGGGTAGGGAATTGCCTTGACTTAGCAAAGTACTTCTCTGGGAAGTAGAAGGCAATTCCCAGAGGGCTTGGGGACTGGGAATGGAAAGTAATGAGGAAGTAGAGAAACAGGTACGTTGCCAGGAGTTCGAGACCAGCCTGGCCAACATGGCAAAACCCCATCTCTACTAAAAATGCAAAATTAGCCAGGCATGGTGGCAGTTGCCTGTAATTCCAGCTACTCAGAAGGCTAAGGCAGGAGAATAGCTTGAACTCGGGAGGCGGAAACGGAGGCGGAGGCTGCAGTGAACCCAGATCGAGCCATTGTACTCCAGCCTAGGCAACAAGAGTGAAAGTCTGTCTCAAAAAAAAAAAAAAAAAAAAGAAAAGAAAAAGAATAAAAGGTAACAGGTACATTGATACGTGAAAGAAATAAGGGAGGGAATGTGCAGGGAAGAGGTGGGGAGACTTTTTAAAAGGTTAGCATTTAAGGGAAAAAACAGCCTCTGAAAAATTAAAAATGATGATGGAGTGACTTTTCAGATCTCAATTGCTACTGTCAGGAAGGCACCCTTTGACTCCAGACCTTCTCTAAAACCTGACTTGTCTACAAGAGACACGTGGTGACTAAAGAATGAGCAGGTGAGGGGAAGTGTGATCGGCCCTGCGTGGGTTTCTCTACTGAACCTCCTGATATCTGGGTGGTCCAGGCCATGGTGTGAGTGGGTAGACAGTGTCTGCAGAAGAAGGAAGTGCCATCAAGCACTAGTTACTCCATGGGACCAAATGTTCCTTTTCCCATACTATTTGAAAACTCAATTACATATTTATTCATCTATTCAACAAATATTGACTGTAAATCAGTGGTGTTCTCTATAGGATGGATTATAAAGGGGCAAAAGCAGTCACAGTCCATGTCCTCATGGAACTTGCAATATAGTGAGGAAGATAAAAGAAAGGTGAATAATTCTACAAATATAATTACAGTAAGGTCCTAGGAAGAAGAGACACATGCCACAGTGAGTTATTAATAATGGAAGATGATCTAATGTCGGGGATCAGATCAATTTTCCAGATAATTGAACTCAGAGCTGACGGATGAGTTAGAGTTAAATGGGGTTAATAATATCTTGTCATAGTGTCCTTGAGAGGATTAACTAAAACACTGTAGGAAAAGCCTCAGGCCATGGCATAGTTCCTCAATTCTACTATAGTATGAATGAAGACACACTGATTTAACAACAGATTTGTGAGAAGTAAAGAAACATGATCTCTTTATATGCACACATTTAATGTAAGATCCACTTCACTTCTGAAATATGAACACCATAGGGACTGAGGCTCAGTATTCTTTATATTTCAAGCCTGGCAGAGTGCATGCCACATAGTAGATACTCAAAAAACATTTGTAAAATAAATTAACATCTGTTCCTCTTTTGTTTTTCATCCTTCCTTCTCTCTCATGTGTTATTATCTCATTTCTCTTGTCAAGCAAGGATTTGTTAAATGAATTCATATTGAAATTTTAAGGATTTACGTATTCATCTTTCATAGAGTATTCTCACTTTAAAAGCTGCTATGGAAAAGGTAATCACCACACTTGGGAAACAAATGCATTATTGTGGAATTTTAGGTATTTCTTCTAGAATTATTTTGAGGTGAAAGCCTACTCAGAGACATTTGAATTAGCACACATAAAAAGAAACTTGTATTAGGGTATCCATTACTTAAACAAAGTGTCAGTTCCTTTTTTGGTGACAACACTGTCCAATGCAAGCAGACAGAGTAGCACTCTGCTCCATGCAGTTATTCAGGGATCTTCCTGAATAACTTCCACCCTGGCTTCACCTTCCTCTGGGTTCTTGAGTTTTCTCTATTCAATAACAGGATAGAAAAAAGATTGTGGAATTTACAATGAGGATGTTTAAGGGTCAGGTTGGAGAGAGACACACATCAAATCAGTTCACATTCCATGAGGAGGACTTGGTTTTGTGGCCACAACTAACTACAAATTGAACTTAAAATGAATTATAGCCAGGTATGGTAGCTCACACTTATAATCTCAGCACTTTGGGAGGTCAGGGTGGAAGAATCACTTGTGCCCAGGAGTTCAAAACCAGCCTGGGCAACATGGCAAAACTCCATCTTCACAAAAAATACAAAAATTAGCCAAGTGTGGTGGTGCACACCTTTATTCCAAGCTACTTAGAAGGCTGAGGTGGGAGGATTGCTTGAATTTGGGAGATGAAGGCTGCAGTGAGCCATGATCATACCACTGCACTCTAGCCTAGGTGACAGCTCAAGACCCTGTCTCAAAAAATACATATTTATATAATGAAGTCTAGGTAAGGACTCAGTACAGAGAAGGGAACACATATCTTGGTGAATCCTAGAATTCTCTGCTAAACTTCTATTCCATCTGTATGTGATGGCCACTGTCATTGTGCATTTATTGGCAGTTTTTTTTTTAAGTTTTGTTCTTACCATGTGACGAAAGTCAGGGGTTACTTATAAAAAAATCTTGGGAAAGTTTTATAAATATATATATGTTATATATATCTCTCTATATATATAGATATATATTATAAATTTATATTCATATATATGATATATAAATATATATCATATATATTTTTTCCAGGTTCAATTGATAGTTCTAACCTGATTTAATCGACTCTCCAAAAGTGGATGCTAGAAAAGTCTCCCCAGGTAACTCTGGTTCAGCTAATTCAAGTACTGGCATTTCAAGACCACCGAACTAAGTCATTCATAATCCCATGCAAAATCTTTTGAAGGAAGGAAGAGTGAGATGAATCTGAGCCAAAATCTTTTAAAGTGTAAATTGAAATCAGTAAAAAAATTTAAGGTAGAGGAGGAAATAAAAGATAGGGTAAAAGGCTGAAAATAAGAAACAAACCCAAGATTGAGTATTAAGAAACATAGGAAGAGAGAGCAAGTCAGGAGTGCAGAGCTGAGGGTCTTGAGTCATTGCAGCTAAGGGAGAAAGGGGACTGCAAGACTTGGGACTGTGCTATTTGGAGGAGTATATATGAGCCAGTCATGCAGACCATCACCCACCATTTTGCAAATATAGAAATTAAGCATCAAAGACATTATTTTCCATTATGACTCAAGATGCAAACCCATCTTTGTCACATCATGTTCTGTACATTTATACCAGGACTGACCTGAGATTAAAACCTAATTTCTGGCCACAAACAAAGTACCACTAACTGGCCACATAAGAATGGATTCTGGAACAGGCACTATGGGGACACACTCTAAGGTGGCCCTCACGGTCTCCACCTCCTGGGGTTTACTACTTTATCTAATCTCCTTCCCTTAACTGTAGAAAAAACCTTTGACTTGCTCCTGATTGATTCAATATGGGAAAGGTGATAAAATGCCACTCCAGTGACTACGTTACCCGGGTAAGACTTTGTCTTATAGTAGAATGGCTTTTTCCCTTTCTAGCTTTGAAGAAGTAAATAGCCATGTTGTAAGAGATCCTACATAGATGTCTACATAGCAAGGAATGACCGGTGGTCCCTAGGAACTGAGAGAAGCCAGAATGACCAGTGTTCCCTAGGAACTGAGAGAAGCCAGAGAAAAACTGGTGTTCTGGGTCTGAAAGCTTCAAGGAAACCAATTCTACCAACAACATGAGTGAGCATGGAAGCATATTCTTCCCCAACCTAACCTTCAGATGAAAACACGGTCCAGTTGACACCTAGATTGCAGCCTGGTGAGATCCTGAGCTAAGGGCCCAACTAAACAGAACCCAGATTCTTGAACCACAGAGACTGTGAGATTATAAATATGCATTAGTTTACACTGTTAAATTTGTAGTCATTTGTTATGTAGCAATAGAAAATTAATGCAGGGACCTCATTTGTTGCTCTGAGTCATGCAGGTCTGACATGGATTGGTAATTCTAATCCTTAAAACATAATTGTTCAAAATGAGTTCAAAAATAAACAGCACACACATCAACCTAAGTGTGAATTCTTGTTTCCTGATTCCCCCAGAAAGGGGTCTTGCTGGGTCGGCTATGCTCATCATCCTTCCACACTAATGGTGTTTTCTTCTTGGCAGATTTACTAGATAAATCCTCAGCTTTCTTGTCTGTGCAGTTACTGAAATGCTGCACTACATTAGCTTCATGCCTGATTGGCTTTTGAATGTACAAATATCATTCCAAACTTCACACAGATGGATCATGAAAAAAAGAAGATAGTAAAATGAATAGAAATAAGCCCAACATTTCTTATTCAAATGTCTAAGGGTCTAAGGAGCAGCACAGCACGAGGTCTAGTGGCTGCCAACCCCAGGTACCTGGGCTGCTGAGCTGAGGAACACTTGGCTTCAATCCCCTCTCCATGACCAGAAATATCAGGTCCTTGGGGAGCAAAGAAATGTTCAGAAACAGCCTGGAGTGGAGCTTTGAACTGCTGCACTCTTCAGCCACCCGGAACAACTGACAGATGGAGCAGGTTACAGAGCCAGGTGGGGAGGCTGAGTTGCTATCTAGCTTCCCACCCATCAGCCCATCCTTCTGTTGCTCTGGGATGTCCCACAGGAGCCCAGACACAGTGGGGACTTGAAAGGATGGGAAACACCTTAGCAATAGCTTCTAAGTCAGACACAAAGTGCAGCCAGCCTTTGGGAATGGGACCAACTGCCACCTTTGCTTTGCAAAAAATGAGTCAGGTTGTACTCTCCACAACAGGAACAGGGAGCTACCTTAGACTGTGGGAGAGGAGTTGGCCATATGTTGGCTTCTTCCTATAGGCAGGATTAAAGAAACTCCCCACAGAGGCCCATAACATCACCATCTCAAGCAAATTAAAGTAACTTTTGGAAAAATTACATTTTATAATTTTAAAAGATTTCTTTATTGTGGTAAGAACACTTAACATGAGATTCACGTTTCTAACAAATCTAAATGTACTATACATTGTTGTTGACTATAGGTACAATGTTGTACAACAGATTAATTCTAGAGTGTTTTAATCTTGCTCAACTGAAACTTTATGCCCACTGATTTGTAACTCTCGATTTACCTCTCCCCCCAGCTCCTGGAAACCAATATTCTACTTCTTTGCTCAAAAAAAAAAAAAAAAAATTGACTAATCAACACCATCTCACCTACCTTAACTCCCAAATCCATCTTATCATCTTAATTCCAAGCCTTAACTTTCTGTCAGCCACTAGTTCCCCACAAAAACATGAAGCTAACCTTGTATTTTTTCTACGCTTTACACCTCTTCCTTTCATTTTTCTCTGTAGTCACATCTTCATCTATGCAACAAATGAAAATTCACACACACATACCCCTGACATTTGAAAGTATATATTCCTAGAATGAAAGTGGAAAACAAAAAGAGTAGAAGGATACACTAAAGTTCAAATTGATTAAAAACAAAAACGAAAACGTGGCAATACAGATAAAGAACTAAAAATAGATCCTGGAAGGAAAATCACATTCATCTGCAAATCAAATCAGCAGATGTTTAATGAACACCCACTATAGTCAACACACTAAGCTAGATGTTAACATATAAACAAGTTTAAATTACAATTTCTTTCTTTAAAAGTTTATGATTTGTTTGGGGAGCTAAAACAGAGATTAGAATGACAACATAGTATATGTTGTATAGTGCATTTTATGTGGATTACGTTTTATAAACCATTTTTACATTTGTAATCTTGACTCACCTTAGAGAAAGTTTGTAGTGAGGGCTTTTTTTTTTTCTTTTAAATACTGACAAGGAGAAAAGGAGTCTCAGAGACACTGTGATGTGCTAAAGGTCACATGGCAAACAAGTGTGTGACCCGTATCTTAAGCACAGTTGTAACTAAATTCAGTGCCCTTTGCAATGTATGCATCTGTTTCTAAATGAAACAAACAATAGGTATGACAGATGTCCACAGATGGGACAAACTATTTAGAATCACGTAAACAAGCTTGGCGCAGGGATACGGAATTTGAGCTGGCCCTGAAGAATGAGTCGCTTTAGGAATCAGGAAAGCTGGAGAGGGCACTTTGGGTTGGGGAAATGTTGAGAGCAAGGGCTTATAAGCAGAAATAAGAGTTAATACACTTAAGGCCCTCTGAGTATTTATAAGTTATTGAACGTCACCCACGTTTCATACTTGGAATCCTTTTCTGTGTCTGTAAAATAAGAAAATATCTTTTTACTGGGCACATGCAGCATAGGGGTCATTTTTCTCCTTCGAGGCAGGAGTACAATGGGGGCAATTCCAACCACAGCACAGAGTGCTAGAAACTCCCAGCTACTAGAGATTGGTGGCTTCAGAGTCGAAATGGATTCTGAGCAAACCAAGTTTTATATATCTAATTAGAAAGTATAGCTTTATGGCTCCAAAGAGTATGGAAGACTCTCCTGCGCATATTTTATACGGTAGTCTTAAAAATTAAATGAAAGTCTTTCTTCAGCATCTAAAGCTGTGTTTGGCTCTTTATTTCACCTAAACATTTAGTATTTATTATTAAAGAATCAAGTTCTGGACACGTTACTTTTTGTATTTTGAACACTTCAAATTCATAAATGATTCAGTATTATGTTTTTCTTTTATTTTCCTTTTTTTGTTTCGTTTTGTTTTGTTTTTAGACGGAGTTATGCTCTTGTCGGCCAGGCAGAGTGAAGTGGTGGGATCTCGGTTCACTGCAACCTCTTTCTCCCGAGTTCAAGCAGTTCTCCTGCCTCAACCTTCCAAGTAGCTGGGATTACAGGCATGTGCCACCACACCCACAGAATTTTTGTATTTTTAGTAGAGATGGGGTTTCACCATGTTGGCCAGGCTGGTTTCAAACTCCTGACCTCAGGTGATCCACCCACCTCAGCTTTCCAAAGTGCTGGGATTACAGGCGTGAGCCAACACACCCGGACATTTTTCTTTTCTTTCTTTTTTTTTTTTTTTGGATATATGGGCAAATGCTTTTTGTATTTTGAACAATTTGAATTCACAAATGATTCAGTATTATGTTTTTATTTTCCTTTTTTTTTTTTTTTGGATATATGGGCAAATGCAGTCATTGATGTTCACAGATGTTCACTATGTTTCATGGTTTCCACTAATTGCAGTTGTGATAGCAAAAATCTCCAAAAAGTAACACAGTCAGACTGCAGATACTTCAACTGGATATAAACCGTCTCTTAGCATCTGATGAATTGTGCATATGCTCAATGCTGAGCTCATTACTGAATGATTAGCAGAGGCAATAGAAAAACAGAGGATGGGGCATGGAAACGATAAGTGGATAATCTCAACTAAAAATAAAAATTCATGGATCTTTCTAACTTGTTAATCTATCAATAAAAATGCACAATGACATAATAATTAAATCAACCTTACTTACCTGTTCAGCTAATCACCTTGCATTGAAAAGAAAATCTTTACCATACAAAATACTTTCTTTTAAAGATGTATGTTAGTTAAAGTAAACTTTGAAATCAAGTTTGCTCAGATAAGACATAGCCTTGAAGTAGGAAAGGGAATGCCAGAAGGGAAGGATGACACCTGCGATGCCTGCTCTGTGCCTGGTGCTTTCTATGCATGACTTCAGTTCAGTGTTCCACAAGCCTGGGAAGCACATCAAATTGTTATATTTCCAGTTTCCAAGTAATCTCACTGTGATGCATAAGAAAATTAATTTCTCCAGAGCCCACATCTAACATGAAGTTATTCAAGCCCATGCTCCCTTGCTGTCTGTGGCCTCCCAACAAGAAATGACAACAATGATCATTTCTGGGAGGGGGCACGTGCTCTGTGCTCCGACCCTCCAATGTAGTCCTTGCCCAGTGTAGTCCTTGCCCACTGCCTACATTGGTGTAAGATAAGTCCTCATCCAAATAGAGAATTGGCTTTTCCTGTTATTGTCCCAATTAGGAGTTACCACTATCATTACTTATAAGATTAAAAAAATCGAGAAGATTCTGGAAAATTTCCACTTCATTATAAGTTCCTGAAAAAAATTCAGATAGGAAAAAAATTTATACATGTATGTATAAACAGGTAAAGATAAATGCAAATAAAAACATAATAGTAGGCAAAATCTGTGCCGTTAGATTTTCCTTACCTAATTGAAGGATTACTCTAAAAGCTACTACTGCAAATACAGAAGTGGACACATCTATCTTCACCACAGAATAGTGACACTGATACAAAATTAAAATTGTAAAACACAAAAGTTTTCCCAGCTCCGTATCAAACTTTTAAAATATTTCTGTAATTCAGTTCCTTCTGCTCAACCCTATGGACAATTACTGCATTTGCAGACTTTCTGGAAGAAAAAAGAAGATATGATTGTGGATAATGGGATTTTTTTACAATGATTTATTTTCATGCAAATTTTAATGCCAGGAAAATAATCAAATCTGTATTTTGTTGAAAGAAAAAAAAACACAAATGGCTAAAAACTGAATAATGGTTAGACAAATTTAACAATAAAATATTACTGTCATTGGGGATGGCAGGTGAAATAGACTAGTATATAAAAAAAAATGTAATACAAAGTAGACAGCATGAAAAAGAGGGTCTTGGCTTAATGGAACTAATGTCCTTACCACAGGATAAAGTGTAATGCCTTGTCTGAATTTTGGAAAAATTACTCAGTTCCCATGTCACTCCAGCTTGAGAGAATGAAAATCTCAATACCAACCCAACACAGTACATCACCTTTACTCATTCCAATGTACACCTGAGTGCCCTTGATTTTATGACCAGTGTTGTGGCATCAATTTTGGAAGTATGAGAGTAGCACCATCACTTGGGGTCAGTCGTTAACAAGATTAGTTACCTTACCTTTACCTTAAATTCTACTCAATGCAATCTCATAGTCAAAATAACATGAGTAGAATAGCAATTTGAAAATGAAGTTAAGAAAGCAATTCCATTCAGTGTCAATAAAAATAATATATTTAAGATAAAATTAACAAAAGGAATTTAACCTTTGTACACCGAAAAGTGCAAAAGTACAAAATTGTTGACAGAAAGTTAAAAGGACCCAGATAAATCAAAAGACATTCCATGCCCATAGATTGGAATAGTTCATATTAACATGACAAGAACGCCCAAAATCGATCAACAGATCCAACTCAGTCTCTATCAAAATCCCAGCTGGTTTCTTTGCAGAAATTGGCAAGCTCATCCCAAAATGTATATGGGATGTACCCAGAATAGCCAAAACAGTCTAGAAAAAGAACAAAACTGGCAGACCTAACATTTCCCTAATTTCAAAACTTATCATGAAACTGCATAATAAGAAAGTGTGGCACTGGCATAAAGATAGACATATAGACTATCACAAAAAAAAAAAACTGAAAGACTAAAAATGAATAGATTTTCAACAATAGTGCCACAACAATTGGGAGAAAGAATAGTCATTTTAATAAATAATACTAAAATACCTGTACAAGAATGAAGTTAGACCCTTAGCCTACAATGTATATAAAAATTAACTCAAAATAGATTATACACCTAAACATAGGTGCCAAAACTATTAAACTGATGGAGAACACATAAGTGAATATTTGAGACCTTGTGTGAGGCAATAGTTCTTAGATATAATAGCAAAAGTACGAGAAAAAAGAAAAAATAGGTAAATTCAACTTCATGAAAATTACAACTTTTTGTGCTTCAGAGAACATCATCCAAAAAAGTGAAAAGGTAATGCACAGAATGGGGGAAAATATTTGCAAGTCGTATATTCAATAGGGAATTTTACCCAAAATATATAAGGAATTTTTATAACTCAATAAAAGGAAAAATAATTTTAAATTGTCAAAGGAATTAAATAGACATTTCTCCAAAAAAAAGATGTACAAATGGCCAATAAGCACAAGAAATTATGTTTAACATCATTAGTTGTTAAGGAAATAAAAATCAAAACCACAATGAGATGTCATTTTCCACCTTCTAGGAATTCTGAAATAAGAAAGACAGTCAATACCAAGTGTTTGTAGGATGTGGAGAAACTGGAAATCTCATGCATTGCTATTAGGAACATAAAATGATACAGACTCTTTGGAAAACCATCTTGCATTTCCTCAACATGTTAATCACAGTTACCTCATGACCCAGCAATTCTGTTACCAGGAACTGTAAGACTCCTCAGCTCTTCTCTAACTTGAGATAAAGAATTTGGCCAAGAAGCAACTAGTAATCTAAGCGAAAGGATTATTAAGAAGTTAAGAGGACACTGTAAAAGGGGAGCAGGCTGACCTCTCTGGAAAACAGCTCTGAACTGGTCTACTTGGAATAATAGCAGAAGCAGTGTTTATTTAAAGAGACAGTAGTACACTCTGAAAGAAAAGCCAGCAGCAGCCAGTGCTGAGGGACTCTATAAGAATCTTACATAATTATTCATGATGGGGTATGAGGGGGTGTCACTTGCAACCATGTTTCAGGCAGAAATATCTGAGACGGGGTAATTTATAAAGAAAAGAGGTTTAATTAGCTCACGGTTCCACAAGCTGTACAGGAAGCATGGCTGGAATGGCCTTAGGAAACTTACAATTATGGTGGAAGGTGAAGGGGAAGCCAACATATCTTACATGACCAAATCAGGAGGAAGAGAGTCAGGGAGAAAGTGCTACACACTTTAAAACAATCAGATCTCGTGAGAACTCATGCACTGTCATGAGAAGAGCAAGGAGGAAATCCACAAAACATGATCCAGTCACCTCCAACCAGGCCCTGCCTCCAACACTGGGGATTACAATTTGACATGAGATTTGGGCAGGGACATAGACCCAAACGATATCAGGCAGTCCCCTTGTGGGCACGTGCTCTGTGGTTGTGCATGCTAATACATGTGTTACGTGTTTCATTAGCATTTAAAATCTCCACCCAGGTGTGTGGTTTTTACTATTATAATGAGCAAAACAGTACTCTAGGGCAAGTTATTGGAGGAGTACACATGCTCATCAGTGGGCAAAGACGCTACACCATGATTATCTCCAACTAGAGCCATCCCCTTCAGGGCTGGAGGAGCCCAACCACAAGGCCATGCATAGCCAATGTAGCCATTGTCTTTTTTGGTGACTCTCGGTGGGCAGTGTTGACTATCAGAGGGCAGCATTTCCAGGACTTCTTTTCCCAGGGGCTTTCTTGCCATGCTCATTTCTGACTATCTGCCTATTCTAATAGTTCCACTCCTAGATATATACTCAAGAGAAATAAAAGCATATGTCCACACAAAAATATGGACATGAATGCTCACATCAGCTCTGCTCACAATAGCCAAAAAGTAAAAACAAACCAAAAACTCTATCAAGTGATGAATGGATAGAATGTGATATAACTATACAGTGGCATATTATTCAGCAATAAAAAGCAATATAGTACTTATATATGCCACACATGGAAAAACCTTATAAATATTATGCTAAGAGAAAGAAGCAAAACACTTGAGCCACATATCATATGATTTCACTTATATGAAAAGTCAAAAGGCAAATTCATAGAATTGATAAGTAGTTCCCAGAGAATAATTTAAAAAAAAAAAGAACTAAGAAGTGACTTTAAGGACTTTCTTCTAGGGGTGATTAAAATATTCTAAAACTGAATAGTGGCAATCTTTGCCTGACTCTGTGACTATACAAAAGCCAATGAATTCCTCACTTTCAGTGGGTAAAATTATGTCTCATTAAATGTGAATTATATCTCTTGAAAGCTGTTATTTTATGAAAAGTATGAAACAACAAAGAAAAGATTTAAAATTTGAATATACTACAGCTAAAGCCTTTAGTTTATCAAAAGAGCACCATTACAAGAATGAAAGGTGAACCCGTAGAACAGAAGACATTCATGAAACATGTAGGTCTGGAAAATCAGTCATCGCCAGAATTTATAAGGAATTTTTAGAAACTAAGAAAAAGAGAGAAAAAGCAAGCCAGTAGAAATATGGGCAAGACTTACACAGATACTTCACAGAAGATGTCAAATGAAAAACCTAATAAAAGATGCTCAGCATCATTAGTCATCAGGAAAGTAAAAATTAAATTCACAAAGTGAAGCTGCGAAACACTGATTAGAATAGGTAAAATGAAAATGAGATAAAACATCAAAAATACAGGAGGATTAGGAGCAAAGGGAATTCTGATATACTACTTGAGTGATACAATTTATTATTTATTTAATTTTAAAGATGGGAGAATGTCGTTCTGCTGACCAGGCTGGTCTCAAACTTCTGACCTCAAGACATCCTCCCACCTCAGCCTCCCAAGTCGTTAGGAATATAGGCATCTAGAAAAACTCTAATTATCTACTAAAAGTTAACATACAGATACCATGATACAACAATTCTTTTTTTAGGTATATATGCAACAGAAACTACGTCAAAAGGCCAAGCATGGTGGCTCATGAATGTAATCCCAGCACTTCGGGAGGCTGAGGCAGGAGGATTGCTTAAGGCCAAGAGTTTGAGACCAGGCTGGGCAACACAGTGAGACCCTGTCTTTACAAAAAATAAATTAGCCTGGCATAGTGGCATATGCCTGTAATCCCAGCTACTCAGGGGGCTAAGACAGGAGGGCTGCTTCAGCCAGAAGGTTGAGGATATAGTAAGCCATGATTGCACCACCACACTCCAGCCTGGGTGGCAGAGCGAGACTACATCTAAAAACAAAACAAAACAAAAAAAGAAAGAAAGGAAAAAAGAGAGAAATTACATCAGAAGAGAAATATGAGAATGTTAATAACAATACCATTTGTAAAAACCCCAAACTGGAAATAACCCCCAAATTTATCAAGAGTTAAATGAATAAATAAGTTATGAAATATTCACTTAATAGGAAGTGAATGAATGAACTGCTATATAGAACAAACAGGATAATTCTCACAAATGTAATTTTGAACAAAGAAGCCCATTACCAAAATGAATATATTCTAAGATTTTATCCAAATAAAGCTTAAAATCAGGAAAACTTGTCAATAGCAATAGAAAATGGAATAGTAGTTACCCTTATAGAAAGGAGTTTTGACTGGGAAGAGATACAAGGAAGATTTATTGAATATTAGGGATGGTCTATTTATTTCTCAGGGTGGAAATTAATCAAGCTATATTCTTATATCTCTATATTTAACATATGTATATTAACTTCAAAAAAAGTTTGCCTTAAAAATTCACACAGTCATTACACAAGTTTATCGCATATCACATATAGTTTTAGAAAAGTATTCAAGAGTTTGCCAATACATTTTTCGAGACAGAAATCATTTAGGTTATGAATCCCTGAATATATAATAAATTCATTAAATCTGGATTAGTAATACAAGTTTTATAATGTTTAAATCCACCTAGAAATTTCAATTCACTATTATAAACAACTTCCAGATAAAAGTGGAAATTAAATCAGCTTTTACAGAAAATATAGAAAATGATACAGAACATCTTACTCAGAACAACCCATGGAGATATGGCCAAAACTACACATATAGTAAAATTATTTTGACTTGTCTCATAATTGTAAGAGAAAGATCAAAAATAAATGAACTAAGTTTTCAACTCAAGAATCTATAAGAACAATGAACAAAGTCTAATACAAGTAGGAGGTAAACAATATTAAAGAGAAAAGTAGAAATTATTAAATTTGGAAACAGAACATCATTGATAAATTATCCCCTAAATTTTAAAAGCTAATAACAATATTTTTAAAAAACATAGAGACAGAAAGAGAGAGAAAAAAGGATCCTGTGTTCCCTAGGCACCACTCTTCTCCCTCTGCTCCTCCCTAGTAAGAACAATGGCATTCAATCTGTGATCCAAATAAGGGCTGAGCCATGTCTGTAGAAATGCTCCCTAGATGGATTGGACATTATGCCTGTCCTTTTGATAATTGCTTATTTATGGAGAGAGATGTTATCTCAGAATTCTACTATTCACATGACCTTAGATATCCAACAGATTAAACAGAGGAAACAGGTCTGTTTTGAATCCAGTTCACATCAGTTATATGATTCAAGTCTAAATACTTGAATCAAGTGTTTGCGTAGCTGCTAAGTTAGATAAATACTTTGGTGGTGTTGAAAGAGCAGTGAGTTTAGACCAGAGTCAGAGAACTTGGGACCATGACTTTTTCATTATTTATCTCTGATCTTGGACAAATCATTGTACTTATTATTGTACTTTGTTATCCTACTTCCCTCTCAGGTATATTTGAATACCGCCCCCCACCTGCCCATCCATGGAAAGATGGGATGAACTGCCATTTGTGAGTAGAGGGAGGAGCAGAGAGAGAAGAGTGGTGTCTAGAAACATGGGATCCCTTTTTCTTTCTCTTTCTCTCTCTCTGTGTTTTTTTAAAAATATTGTTATTAGCTTTTAAAATTTAGGGGCCAATTCATTGATGATGTTCTGTTTCCAAGTTTAATAATTTCTACTTGAACCATCATAATAGAACAGCATACCATCTCTTCATCAAATATTTATCAAATGCCCTTGTTCAGTGCCATGGAATACCTCCTTTGCAGGACTTTTTCAGAGACTGGTGACTCTGAACATTTTACTCACTGTTCACTTTTTCAAAAGCCCAACTTGGACAAACAATCTCCAACAAAGACAGCCTCAATGACATGTTATCTATATACATCTCTAAGCATTTTAAGTAGATAATAGTTACAAGTCAGGTTATAGAAATATGACATACCTAGATCACACTAACTTAGCTTATTGCCCAGGAAAGAATCATGTTTACCATAACATTTGCAACTAATTTGGACGTACTGGCATATGTCTTAGACTCAAATCAGAAATAGCTCTAAGAAAATAACTTTTTATTCATTTAGGGTTATTGTTGGGACATTTTCCATCATGCTATTTATATTAGTTCACTTTTACACTGCTATAAAGATACTACCTGAGACTGGGTAATTTATAAAGAAAAGAGGTTTCACTGGCCAAGTGCGGTGGCTCAAGCCTGTAATTCCAGCACTTTGGGAGGCGGGCGGATCACCTGAGGTCCAGAGTTCAAGACCAGCCTGACCAACATGGTGAAACCCTGTCTCTACTAAAAATACAAAAAACTAGCTAGGCATGGTGGCATATGCCTGTAATCCCAGCTACTCATGAGGCTGAGGCAGGAGAATCGCTTGAACCTGGGAGGAGAGGTTGCAGTGAGCTGAGATCGTGCCATTGCACTCCAGCCTGGGCAACAAGAGCAAAACTCCACTTCAAAAAAAAAAAGAAAGAGAGAGGTTTAATTGACTCATAGTTCCACATGGCTGGGGAGGCCTCAGAAAAATTACAATCATGGCAGAAGGTGAAGGGGAAGCAGAAACCTTCTTCACAAGGTGGCAGGAAAGAGAGCGAGTGAGGAAGTGCCACACTTTAAAACTATCACCTCTTGTGAGAACTCATTATCATGAGAACAACATGGGGGAAACCGCCTCCATAATCCAATCACCTCCACCAGGTCCCTCCCTCGACACGTGGGGATTACCATTCCA